>NC_000023.11:87917087-88220117 GCF_000001405.40 Homo sapiens
CTCACCACCTCAAAACAACAGAATATACACTTTTATTGCCACATGTCACATACTCTAAAATTGGTCACATAATTGGAAACATTCCTCAGCAAATGCAAAAGGGCTGAAATTACAGCAAGCAATCTCTTGCAAAATGGTGTAATCAAATTAGACATCAAAACTACGAAATTCACTAAAAACCATACAATTACTTGGAAATTGAATAACCTAATCATTAATAACTTTTGGGTAAATAATGAAACTAAGGTAGAAATCAAGAAGCTCTTTGAAACGAATGAGTACAAAAATACAAAATATAAGAATATCTAGGACACAACTAAGGCAGAGTTAAGAGGGAAATTTATAGCACTAAATGCCCACATCAAAAAGTTAAATAGACCCCAAGTTAACAACCTAACATCACAACTAAAAGAACTAGAGAATCTAAAGCAAACAAATCCCGAAGCTAGCAGAAGACAAGAAATAACTAAAATCAGACCTGAACTGAAGGAGATAGAGATATGAAAAGTCATTCAAAAAACCAACAAATCCAGGAGCTTGTATTTTTTAAAAAAGTTAATAAAATAGACTGTTAGCTAGACTAATCAAGAAGAAAAGAAAGAAGATTCAAATAAACATGTTCAGAACAAGGGGGGTATTACCACTGATCTAACAGAAATAAAAACAACCATCAGAGAATATTGTGAACACTTCCTGTTTGCAGACAACATGATCCTATATCTAAAAAACACCGTAGTCTCAACCCAAAAGCTCCTGAAGCTGATAAAAGACTACAGCAATGTCTCAGGATACAAGATCATTGTGCAAAATCACTAACATTTCTATACACCAGCACAAGTCAAGCCAAGAACAAAATCAGGAATGCAATCCCATTCCCAACTGCCACAAAAATAAATAAGTAGAATACCTAGGAATATAGCTAACAAGAGAGGTGAAAGATTTCTATAAGGAGAACTAAAAAAACACTGCTCTAAGAAATCAGAAATGACACAAACAATGGTAAAACATTCCATGCTCATAACATAAAAAACTATGTTATACTTAATATGGAACAAAAAAGAGCCTGAATATTCAAGGTAATGCTAGAGGCATCATGCTACCTGATGTCAAACTATACTACGGAGATACAGTAAGCAAAACAGCATGGTACTGGTACAAAAACAGACACACACACCAAAGGAATAGAATAGAGAAAACAGAAATAAGGTTGCATACATGCACGTATCTGACCTTTGACAAAAACAAGCAATGGCAGAAGGATTTTCTATTCAATAAATGATGTTAGGATATCTGAATATCCATATGCAGAGGATTGAAACTGGGCCCCTTACTTACACCATATACAGAAATTAAGATGGATTAAAGATTTAATGTAAAATCAAAAAGTATAAAAACCCTGAAAGATAACTTAGAAAATACCATTCTGGACACAGGGATAGACAATGGTTTCATAATGAAGACATCAGAAGCAATCGCAACAAAAGGAAAAATTGACAAATGGGATCTAATTAAAGAGCATCTGCACAGAAATGGAAGCTATCAACAGAGTGAACAGACAATCTAGAAAATGAGAGAAAATTTTTGCAAACTAAAGATCTGACAAAGTTCTAATATACAGTATCTATAAGGAACTTAAATTTATAAGAAAAAAATCAACTCCATTAAACAGTAGGCAAAGGACAGGAACAGACACTTTTCAAATGAAGACATACATGCAGCCAACAATTATATGAAGAAAAGCTCAGTATCACTCATCATTAGAGAAATGCAAATCAAATCCAAAATGAGATACCACCTCGCACCAGTCAAAATGGCTATTATAATAAAATAAAAAAATAACAGATGCTGGAGACGTTTCGAGAAAAAGGAACACTTATATACTGTTGGTGGTAGTGTAAATTAGTTCAGCCATTGTGAAAGACGGTGTGGTGATTCCTCAAAGAACCCAAAACAGAATTACCATTCAACCCAGCAATCTCATTACTGGGTATATACCAAAAGTAATATAAATCATTCTTTATAAACACGCATGCACACATAAGTACACTGCAGCTCTAATCACAATAGCAAAGACATGAAATCAACCTAAATGCCTATCAAAAGTAGACTGTGTAAAGAAAATATGGTACATATACATCAAAGAATACTATGCAGCCATTAAAAAGAATGAGATTATGTCTTTTACAGGAACATGGATGGAGCTGGAGGCCATTATTCTTATCTAATTAACATAGAAACAGAAAACCAAATACCACATATTCTCACTTATAAGTTGGAGATAAATGATACCACATTAATATGTAGAGAATAACACACACTGGGACCTATCAGAGGTTGAGGGGTGGAAGGAAGAGAAGATCAGGAAAAATAACTAATGGTTACCAGGCTCAATACCTGGGTGATGGAATACTATGTTCAGCAAACCTCCATGACACACGTTTACCTATATAACAAACCTGTGCACCCCTAAACTTAAAAGTTAAATGACAAACATACCTGATACTAGACAGTTTATAAAGAAAAGAGTTTATTTGACTCATGGTTCTGCAAACTGTACAAGAAGCATTGCGCTAGCATCTGCATCTGCTGACTGGCTTAAGCTGTTTTCACTCATGGCAGAAGGGCAATGGGAGCTGGCATGTGCAGAGATCACATGGTGAAAGTGGAGCAGACAAGAGAGATAGGGAAGGTAGTTTCCAGGCTCTTTTTAACAACCAGCTATCATGGAAACTAATAGAGTGAGAAGTCACTCATCAACATTCCAACAGCACCAGGCCTTTCATAAAAGATCTGACCCCATGAGAAAAACAGCTCTCATTAGGCCCCACTTTTCACACTGGGGATCAAATTTCAACAGAGATTTGGGGGAATAAATATCCAAACTATTACATGCCCCCATCATTACTACACTTGTGGGCTTCTGAAGCAGAAACTGTCCATATAGAAAACAGTTAAATTGAATTTGAGTAAATTCAGGAGTAAGCATCATCTTAGCTTAATGATTGATAGATGACATTTTCTGGCTGGCATAGAATAATGATTTTCCAGTCAGAATGAGATTTCTCAAAGAACTTAAAATGAAACTACCATTTGACCCAGAAATTTCATTGCTGGATATATATTCAAAAGGAAATAAATCATTCTAACAAAAAGACACATACACTTGTATTTTAATCTCAGTACTATTCACAATAGCAAAGATATGGAATCAATCTGTGTACCTATCAATGGTGGATTGAATAAATAAAATGTGGCACATATACACCATGAAATACTACACAGCCATAAAAAAGAACAAAATGAGCTCCTCTGAAGAAACATGCGTGTAGCTGGAGGCCATTATCCTAAACTAATTAACACAGGAACAGATAACAAAATACTGCACATTTTCACTTACAAGTGGAAAATAAACATTGGGTGCTCATGGACATAACAATGGTAACAATAAACACTGCAGACTACTAGAGGGGGGAGGAATTGGGGGTAATGCTAGTAAAACTACCTCTTGTGCTCTATGCTCACCACCTAGATGACAGTATCAATCATACCCCAAACCTCAGCATCATGTAATATGCCCATGTGGCAAACCTGCATGTGTATCCCCTGAACCTAAAATAGAAGTTGAAATTATTAAAAATATAACAATGGTCTTTACCAGATGGCAAAGAGAAGGTTAGCTGCTTTAATGTCACTCACTTTTGTGTGTGATAGATGTTTGATTCTGTAAAAACAGTCTCTGAAGCTTTCCCTCTAGTCCTACCTGGTCCTTTCTTCCACTTAACCTTTTTCCTAGCTCCTGGTGTCTTGTATCTATCTGGTCTGAGGACAAGATAGCTTTTCTTAAAAAATATGCTTTCAATTATTTTCCTGAATCCCTAGGAAAGTGGTATTTGAATTTTATGATCAAATATATTTATTTTACCCATTAGGAGGAAAACAGATTATTATTTCTAAATAGTATTCTACCATACAATATTTATTTATTTGGCAATATAGTGGGCACCTACTATGCACCAAGTATGGTATTTAATGGTAGAGACAACAAAATAGTGCATGGCTTATGATTCTGAGGGAGAAGACAGAAATGCAATCTACCAAGTGCACTGAATTACTTTGAACGTCATAGAATACATATGAACAGAATACACTGGAAGTCCTAGAAACTGCTGAGAAAAAAAGATTTTATAGAATAGGTGAAATGATTCTTTGAAGATTTTTGAGGGCCAGGCATGGTGGTTCACGCCTCTAATGCCAGCACTTTGGGAGGCTGAGGTGGACAGTTGGCTGGAGGCCAGGAGTTTGAGACCAGCCATGTTAACATGGCGAAAACCCATCTCTTAAAAAAAACAAAAAGATAATTGAATTTCTGTACCTTATAAAAAAGGAGAAGAAAATTCCAGGTTGAAAAATTTGTGAGATTTCCATTGAGTGTGTGGCTTCCACTAGTGTGTGTTTGCCATTACTATGAGGTTTCCACTGAGGCTTTTATCATATATTCTAGGATTCCTCCTTAGAGACCCATTGCAGGAATGTACTTTCTAACTTATTTTGATATTAAACATGACAATGTAACTTACTTTGAGCAATAATTCATGAAATTAAGTGAGATGTGTCACTTCTCGGTGGAAACTTTAAGAGCCAGAGTATTATTTGCCATGTTGTTTATACCTCTGCAATGATAACCAACAGTTCTTCAGATGGTGATTCCTGAGTGAGGGGACATGAAACAGAGTTTCTAAATGAGCTTCCATTAACATATTACATAAGCAAAAAATTAAACTTCGTTGTAATTGGCCACTAAGATTTTGAGATTGGTTGTTATTGCAGCATAGCCTGGTCGTCTCTAACTCATATGATTAACGAAATAATTGTTAAACATGTAAGTTAGAAGTGACTAGGTGGTCCACTATGTGTGGAGAGATAAGCAGATACTTGAAACATCAACAAGTATTCTTGTATGTTTTGCTAAATAATTTGAATTTTGTCCTATAAAAAATAGTAATCAGTGAAAATGCTTTAAGGAGGAGAATAATGGTTACATTTGCATCTTAGAAAGGTCAATTCTGATGATAACAAAGAATAGGTTAAGTAAGCCAAGATTAACTTCAGGGAGACCAGTTAGTAGGCTGTTTCAAAATTTCAGGTAAATATAATAAGAGTCAGAGCTAAGGCACTCACAGAAGTATTTGGTCCTCCTCTCAATTCCCTGACCACTTTTTTTCTCATTCTTTTCTATTGCTGAAAAACACAATTTTAATAATAGCCAGGACTATAGTCTCAGGTTTTATGTTATTTGTATGGTCTACCTAAACAATCTCATCTCTGTACATGTCTTTAAATTGCATGTTTATAAAATATTTGAGAGACCTTGAAGATATAAAATAGGTAAGAGTTCTTGACTTTTTGGATGTAGGAGTAAAGAAAGGGGAGAGTTTGTGGGTACTAGTAGGACATCCAGGTGGAAATATATAACAGACAGTTGTAAAAGTTGGGGACTCAGGATAGTAGGCTGGCTCAGATGTAAATATTTGGCATCTATTTGTATATCCATGAAATTTGAAGACATGGACAGAGATGAGATCGTTTAGGGAGACCATATAAATAACGTAAAAACTGAGACTATAACCCTGACTATCATTGATATTTTGTTTTTCCCCAGAGAGAGGCAATAGAAAATAAGCGTGAGAATAAAACATGTTTGGAGAATTGAGAGGAGGACCAAAATAGAGTTCTGGTACAGAAGTCCATGGAAGAAGGACCTCAAAGTCTGAATATCTACATCAAATTATACAAGGACTAATAAGAGTCTATTAAGAGGTTACTGTTAATATTTGCTCCTGGATATTCAGGAAAGTAGTGGTGGAAGGCTGATCGGTGTTTTGAAGAATGGCTGGCAGATGAAGAGACTCTTAACTACGCTTTGGAGAAAGATGTTTTATGGCAATATACTTGTATCTCTGAGGAATAAACCAGTCAAGAGGGCAAAGTTGAGTGTGCCAAAGAAAGAGATAATTGATGGTCCAATGTGGAATAAAATTAGTGGCTACTTTGTAAAGAAAAAGGGCCACCTGTTCTGAAACTGAAGGAGAAAATGTAGAAGTGAGCAAGAGATATAGAAAAGTTGTTGCTATAAATCCAAGAGGTTTGGTTTGTTCATACTGCATGGACTCAGTTTTCTCAATAAATTAGAAGGAAACTTAAATTAGTGAGTTAGAGGTATGATATAAGATTGGAGGGTTGAGGTGAGAAGTAAAAATTTGGAATAGCTGTTACAGGAATTCAAAGATGCTAACCAGGGACACATCCAAGAATTTCTGAGTCATATTGAAATCTCAGATGGCCAGGCACAGTGGCTCATGCCTGTAATCCCAGCACTTTGGGAGGCTGAGGCAGGTGGATCACCTGAGGTCGGGAGTTCAAGACCAGCCTGGCCAACATGGTGAAACCCCATCTCTATTAAAAATATAAAAATCAGCTGGGTGTGGTGGCGGGCATCTGTAATCCCAGCTACTTGGGAGGCTGAGGTGCGAGAATCTTGAACCCAGGAGGTGGAGGTTGCAGTGAGCCAAGATCACGCCACTGCACTCCAGCCTGGGTGACAGAGTGAGACTCCCTCTCTAAAAAAAAAAAAATCTCAGATGAAGTGAGATTAGAAATGTCTTGTTACCTCAATTCACACTTTTGTGATTCTCTTCTGCAGTGCACAGTAGTGCTAGTGTATCAATAGAGGAAGTTATTATTTAGATTGATCCAATTTTTTGGACTTTTTGTGAAAGAGTGAAGCTGCTAGTATGTACCATTCTCATGAGGAGAAGAAAGAGTGGCAAGTAAACACTAGCTCTTCAACAGGAACTGTGTCCAGGTGGACACACTAGTATTCATCAAGGAAACAACATGACCCCTGCAGAAAAGGGGAAAGCAAGACAGGATAACTGCCCACCTGGGAGAGGCATGGAGCCAGGGAAGGCCCCTCACTATTGGGAAACACTGTGTGCGCAGGAGTCTCTGGGAACCCACACTTCTTCTATGGACCTTTCAATTCTGAGCTCTGGAGATACTTTGTGACTCACCCCCTCCACCATGGCCTCCAGACTGACACGGTTGTGTAGAATCTGTCTGACACAGACTGCTATGTGGAATCTGAGCAGAACCATTGCTCAGACACATGCAGAGTCCTGGAATTCTTGGATGCCCGCGCACCCCAGAACAAGTGGCTGCAGCTCCAGCAATGGGGGAAGTCAGGCTCCCTCACACACCTCCATGAAAGGGGCAAAATCCACAGGGCTGAATAGTAATGGACTCCAGGCCTCACTTCCACTGCACCTCACAGGATAAGGCCCACTGGCCTGGGGTGCAAGTGAGGCCACCCCGTTCCTGCCTAAGTTCTCAGGCTGGGAACAGCTCTGAACTTCCCTGGGAGAGAGCTCCCAAGGGAGCAAGAAAGCTTTAACTGTAACTCCAGCAAGCTGCAGCTGCCCTCATGAGAAGACACCAGTCTGCCTTTTCTGAGAGCCCCTGTTTCCCTGTTCATCACCAGGCAAGGCCCCCTGGCATGGGCCCACAGTGCAGCCACCCAAACTAATAGCCAATCATATCAACGGGTAGCAGCTCTGCCTTTCTCTGGGGTGGAGCCTCAAGAGACAAGTGAAAGGCCCTCTGTAACAGCCACTGTCAAAGTTTTTTTTTTTTTCCCTGATGCCTCCAAGCTGGAGAAGGAATATAAAGCCAGAGGTCACCCCAGGGCTGTGGTATGCGGCCCTCCCATGCCAAGCTGAGATCTGCAGCCAGCACCAGAGTGGTGAAACTGCCATCGTGAAATTGTAACTGAGACAGTGAAAGAGATCTGACCCCACCAACTTCATCTTTCTTCTAACCTCCAAGCTGTCCTTGTCTCTTCCTGGGCATAGGCTGAACTAACTTTGGGAGAAATTTAGTTGAATGTTTATAGTTTAAAACAAAAATGATAACAGGCCTTTCCCAAGGCAAATCCCCGTTTTGCCTGGGGACTAGACTGTCTTTGTAGGACTAATACATTTGCCACAAGATTAAGAATTACAGTTTAGCAGTCATGTAGCTGGAGGCTACAAGATTCTGACACTCCCTAAACTGCTCCTAAGATAAGTGCTTAAGATATTTTGCAGACCCTGCACTTGATGGATCAACTGGCACCACTCAGAATGACAAACTAACTCATCTGATCTTGTGGCTCCCCACCCAGGAACTGACTCAGCACAAGAAGACAGCTTTGACTCCCTATGATGTCATCTCTGACCTGACCAATCACCACTGCCGGCTCACTGGCTTCCCCGTACCCACCAGGTTGTCCTTAAAATCCCTGATCCCCAAATGTTCGAAAAGACTGATTTGATAAATAATAAAATTCTGTTCTCCAGCACAGGTGGCTCCAAGTGAATTACTCTTTGCCTATTGCAATTCCCCTGTCTTGATAAATCGGCTCTGTTTAGGCAGCAGGCAAGGTCAACCCATGGGGCAGTTACAGTGGGAGAGGATTCACACTTTCAGAGCATTGAGAAGGAGCACAGGTGCAATCATAAGGAAATACAGAGCAGACACCTGGTCGAGCAAGAGCCCAGCTACTGACCATTACACTCAAGTGCCATCTACTGGATCACAGCCCAAAATTGAACACCAAAAATCACTTCACCAAATCTTTTTCCTGTGAAACAAAGGACAAGAACCCAGCTACAAATAAAGACCCTGCACAAAGCCTTGGATCCCTGAAAACATCCAGAAAATAAGTCAACTGGCTATACTCAAATTACACCACGTTCAAAAGACGATTAGCCCACACAGAGGAGAAAGAACCAATGAAATAACTCTGGAAACTCGAAAAGCCAAACTGTTTTCTTTCCTCCTAATGACTGCAGTAATTCCCCAGCAAGTATTCTTAACCGGGCTGAAATGACAGCAATAGAATTCAGAATACAGATACAAATGAAAATCATCAAGATTCAGGAGAAAGATAAAACCCAATACAGGAAATATAAGGATTACAATAAAATAATACTGGAGCTGAGAGATGAAATAGCCATTATTCATAATGGAATATGAATGGAATATAATTTCATAATTCAATCATCAGTATTAATAGCAGAATAAACCAACATGAGGAAAAAAAATTCAGAGCTCAAAGATTGGTTCTCCAAATAAATACAGTCAAACCAACATAAAGAAAAAGGAATAAAAAATAAACAAAACCTTCAAAGAATATGGGATTATGTAAAGAGACCAAATCTGTGACTCAATGATATACCTAAAAGAGAGGGAGGGAAAGCAAGCAACATGGAAAACATATTTCAGAATATCATCCATGAAAATTTTTCTAACTTCACTTAAAAGGCCAATTTTAAAATTCAAGAAATGCAGAAAACGCCTGTGAGATACTACATAAGACCATTCCTAAGATACATAGTCATCTGATTCTTCAAGGCTGAAATGAAAGAAAAAATGTTAAATGTAGCTAGAGAGTAGGGGCAGGTCAACTACGAAGGGAACTTTGTCAGGCTAACAGCAGATCTTTCAGCAGAAAAACTACAAGCCAGAAGAGATTGGCATCCTATATTCAGCATAATCAAAGAAAGGAATTTCCAACCAAAAATTTTATATTCAGTCAAACTAAAATTCATAACAGAAGGTATGAAATTTTTTCACACAAACAAATACAAAGGGAATTTGTAACCAGCAGACGAGCCTTACAAGATGTCCTGAAAGGAGCATTAAATATGGAAAGGAAAGAATGTTACCAGCCACTACATAAACAGATTTAATTGTACAGACCATTGACACTATATAGCAGCCACACAAACAAGTCTGCATAATAGTCAGCTAACAACACAATTCCAGGATCAAATTCACACATGTCAATATTAACCTTGAATGTAAATGGGCTAAATACCCAACTTAAAAGGCATGGAATGGCACGTTGGATAAAGAAGCAGGACACAATGGAAGGCTGTCTTCAAGAAACGCATCTCACATGCAGTGACATCCATAGGCTCAAACTAAAGGGATGGAGAAAAATCCACCAAGCAAATGGTAAACTGAAACAAAACAAAACAAACAAACAAACGAACAAAAACTAACAGAGACTGCTATCCGAATTTTAGACAAAACAGGCTTTACACCAACAAAGATTTAAAAAGACAAGGAAAAGCATTACATAAAGGTAAAGGTTTTGATTCAACAGGAAGACCTAACTATCCTGGCTATATATTCAGCCAACACAGGAGCACCCAGACTCATAGAGCAAGTTCTTAGATATTGTCGAAGAGACTTACATTTCCACACAATAATGGTGGGAGATTTCAACACCCCACTGACAGTAGTAGAGAGCTCATCAAGGCAGAAAACTAACAAAGATGATTAACACCTGAACTTGACACTTGACCAAATGGACCTAATAGACATCAACATAAATCTCAACTCAAAAATAACATAATTTACAGTCTTCTCATCTGCACATGGCACTACTCTAAAATTAACCACACAATCAGACGTTAAACAATGCTCAGCAAATTTGAAGAAAACTGAAATTATACCACCCACACTCTCAGACTACAGTGCAATAAAATAAACAATGAAAATAAGGCAGATATTTAAAAATTTTTTGAAAGTAATGAGAACAAAAATACAACATACTAGAATCTCTGGGACACAGCTAAAGCAATGTTAAGAGCGAAGTTTATAGCACTAAATGCCCACATGAAAATGTCAGAAACACCTAAAATTAACAACCTAACATAACCCCCAAAGAAACTAGAGAAACAAGAGCAAACAAACTTCAAAGCTTGCAGGAGACAAGAAATAACCAAAATCACAGCTGAACTGAAGGAAATTGAGATGCAGAAAACCATATAAAAGATCAATTAATCCAGGAGTTGGTTATTTGAAAGAATTAACAAGATAGATAGACCACTAGCTAGGTTACTTTTAAGAGAGAACATCCAAATAAACATAATCAAAGATGACAAAGGACACATTATTATTGACCCTACAGAAATACAGAAAACTCTCAGAGACTACTGTGAAATCTTCTATGCACACAAGCTAGACAACATAGAAGAAATGGATAAATTCCTGCAAACATAAAACCTCCCAAGATTGAAGCAGAAAAAAAATGGAATCCCTAAACAGTCTAGTAATGAGCTCTGAAATTGAATAAGGAATAAAATGCCTACCAAGAAGAAAAAACTCAGGACCAGATGATTTCATAGCTGAATTCTACCAATTGCATAAAGAAGAGCTGGTGCCATTTCTACCAAAACTATTCCAAAAATTTGAGGAGAAAGGACACCTCCCTAATTCATTGCATGAGGCCAGCATAATCCTGATACCAAAAGCTCACATAAACACAACAAAAAAGGAAAACTTAAGGCCAATATCTTTGATGAACATACATGCAAAAATCCTCAAAAAATACTACCAAACCAAATTCAGCAGCATATCATGAAGCTAATCCACCATAATCAAGTAGGCTTTATCCCTGTGATGCAAAATTTGTTCAATATATGCAAATCGATAATTATTATTTGCTACAAACAGAACTAAAAACAAAAGCCACATGATCATCTCAATAGATATATCTCTTCATGTCAAGACCTTCAAAAAACTAGGCAGTGAAGCAACATGCTTCAAAATAATAAAGGCCATTTATAAAAAACCCACAGCCGAAAGCACACTAAATGGCCAAAATCAGGAAGAATTCCCCTTGAAAACTGAAACAAAACAAGGAGGCCCTCTCTCACCACTCGTATTTAACATATTTCTAGAAATCCTGGCTGGTCAGAGTAATCAAGGAAGGAAAAGAAATAAAAGGCACCCAAATATGAAGAGAGAAAATCAAACTATCCCTGTCTGCAAGATCATATGATTCTATACCTAGAAATCCCTACAGCCTGTGCCCAAAAGACTCTTGATGTGATTAAAAAAAATACTCAGCAAGGTTTCAGGATACAATAATGATGTACAAAAATTACTATCATTCAAAAAAAAATCAAAGCCAAAAGCAAAATCAAAATGCAGTTCCATTCACAGTAGCCACAAAAGTAATAAAATACCTATGAATACAGCTAACCAGAGAGGTTAAAGATCTCTACAATGAGAATTACAAAATGATGTTGAAAGATATCGAGAGACACAAACAAATGGAAAATCATTCCCTGCTCATGGATAGGAAATATTAATATTGTTAAAATGACCATACTTCCCAAAGCAATTTCCAGATTCAATGCTATTCCTATCAAATTACCAATGACGTTCTTCACAGGATTACAAAAAACTGTTCTAAACTTCATATGGAACCAAAAAAGAGCTTGAATATCCAAGGAAACCCTAAGCAAACAGAACAAAGCTGGAGGCATCACACTACCCAACTTCAAACCATACTACAAGCCTATAGTAACAAAAACAGCATAGCACGGGTACTAAAATGGACACATAGAACAAGGGAGCAGAATACACACCCAAGAAATAATGCCACACACCTACATCTATCTGATCTTGGATAAAGTTGACAAAAAAGCAATAAGGACATTACTCCCTATTTGATAAATTATGCTAGCATCATGGCTAGTTATATGCAGAAGATTGAAACTAGACTCTTTCTTTACACCATATATAAAAATTAATGCAAAATGGATTAAAGACTTACATGTGAAACCCAAACTAAAAAGACCCTGAAACATAACTTAGGACATACAATTCTGGACATAGGAATGGACAAAAATTTTACAACAAAGAGTCCAAAAGCAATTGCAACAGAAACAAAAACTGGCTAATGGAACCTAATTAAATAAAAGAGCTTCTGCACAGCAAAAGATACTATCAACAGAGTAAAGAGACACCCTCCAGAATGGGAGAAAATATTTGCATCCAACAAAGATCTAATCTTAAACATATTAATCACATTAATTATAAAGTTGATGTCTAACAACTATGATATCTGTATCTTTTGGGATTGTGTTGCTATGATCTGTTTTTTACTTGCTTCTTAGTCTTTTGGTCCTGTCTTTAATTATGCTTATAAGTTTTTGATTGACTCAATACTTCCGTATGATATATTGAAGAGCTAATTTGAATCTCCAATGTTATGCTTCTCCAAAGAGAATATGCTTTTGCTACTTGCAAAAAGTTATGGATTAACTTAACAAATTAACTTCATCCAAACATAAGTTACATTGATTATAAGTCTTGTAAGAGTTGGTCATTTCTGGTTCCCTCTTACACTTCAGGAGTAGCCTCTCAAGAAATTCAATGAAAAACCTGGGCTGTTTATCAGGATTCTTCCTTCCTGGAAGTCCCTTAACACCATTTTTTGGTTTCCCAAACTTTGTAGGTATGCCATCTTCTATACTCATCTCTACTCAGCTTCTATACTCCCTGACACCTACTTTGTTCAAGCTCATGAAGCCCAACTCGCTTTGTTTCTCTTCTTCTCTAAAATTTTGCTTCCCCATAATATCTTTGTTGCCCTGGAGCCCTGTGATGCTTTTAAACTAAATTTTTAAAACACATTTTGTTCATATTTTCTGGTTGCCGTTGGTGAGAAGATTGGCCTGTAGCAAACCACTCCACCATGACTGCAAGCAGAAATCACCAATCTTTTCAATTCATCTTTTTAAAATTTTTGTATTCTTTTGGACTTTGAGCCTCCTCCTCTTCCTCTTCTTCTGTTACCTGCCTGACTAATAATTTATTCCTTTCTATTTTTATGTCTATTTTTAAAATTCTCTGTTTTCCAATTTTTTTTCAGTTCTCCCATATTTTCATGTTTTTTTTTTCTGGGGGATCTCATCAACTTTTATAATTTGAATTTTCATTTGTTAACAAGTGGTTCCCAAATATCTCTAGCTTATAACTGTCTTAACTTTAGAACACAATACCCAACTGTCTAACAAACATCTTCAACTCTACCCAGGTATTGTACCTCTCAAATCTCCTTCCTGGTCTTTCTTTCTTATTTTGGTAAGTAATCTTTTATAGATTGCAAAAAAAAAAAAAACGCTATGATGCTTTATAACACCCTGTATATGTGTCCCTTTTCAATGTGACTTCGCAGCTCCTCCAATCAAAAGATGGAACCTATTTATCTCCTGCTTGAATATGGGCTTTTTGCTTGTAATTTACTTTGTCCAATAGAAGGTGACAAATAGGGACATATTGTTCGTTATGAGACAAGGTCTGAGGAGGTTGTGCACCTGATTGCTCTTCTACTCTTTGTACTCTGTCAATGCATCATGCGAATAAACCTGATATAACATGTTAAATGATAAGATATTTTGTGTTTGTTGACACTGCGAAAATTTCTAATCCTCAGAATCAGTTCCATATAGATTACTAGCAACTGATCACAGGCACATGAGAGAGCCTAACTGATACCTGAAAAGCTTCCCAGCTGAGCCTGTTTCAAGTTACCAACACACAACATTTTGTGGTAAATAAGTGATCACTTTAGTCAGTAACTTTTTTTTTGTTCTGGAGAAAAAGATTACTGATAACATGTCCAAACTTGAAACTTTTAGGGCTACAACTTATTGCTCTCATTAGAAACCTCCAGTCACCTTTCAAAGTCTGTTGATTATACCATGGAATCATATCTTACCTATAAATTGCTTTACTATTTTCACAGTCCTTCACTCTAAGCCACACTTATCCACACAAATGCTATCTTCTAGTTATACCACACCATTTATCATATTCCAAAATACATCATATACTAGACTTTTGCATCTTTTCATGTTTTTATTTCTTTTTGAAAAGCTATTCTTTTACTATACCTATTATATATACCAATCCCTTTAACATGTCCTATAATGCTCTATATGAATTGGCATTTTCTCTATTTCAGTTCTCATCTTTTTCTATTCTCAACCTTACTCTCTATGGTACAATCACACTGACTTCAAATATTTCTTAGAATTCTCCAAGCAATTTCTCAGAATAGAAATTTCATGGTTGCTATTTCTTCTATCTAAAATTATTTTACTCTAAATCTCAACATTGCTAGATTCTTCTTATCTTTCAGGTATCAGATCGGAAGATTCATCCAAAGAGATGTTTTTGCTGACCAACATATCTCAAATAGTCCAATGTTAAGTTGTATTATTTGCTGATAATTACTGATGACTGCTCCACCATTACTATGGTTTCCTGCAAGGGGCATATACTTCCTCAATGTATTGCCTTTGGGTTTGACCATGTGAGTTGATTTGGCCAAGGGAATACAACATACACCTTGACCAATCAGAAGTTTTAAGTGGGTTTATATGGTTTAGCTTTTTAGCTTTGCCCTCTTTGACTTTGTTCCTTGTGCCAAAAGGAAAAAAAAAAAAAAGGAGTATGTTGAGGTAGTGGCTACTCATTAAATGTGGATCCTAGAATAAGCAGGAAAATGGAACTGAGTTATGCTGACCCCAGCAGGTGATCTGTAACTGCCATTTAATGTGAAAAATAGAGTAGAGTTATTATAAGCCAGTGAGATTTGGGGGTTATTGCCATAACAAAGGAAGACTAATACAGAGACTTATCTTCTGTAACAAATTATTATATTTTGTTACATAATTATCATATGTACAAAAAATACACTTAAAATTTGTCATAAGCTCTGCTTTTTTCTTATTATCTTAGCTTTTGAAAATATTTCCCATTAAATGGTAAGCTATGTGAATGTAAGGTCACGTCTGTTTACTGTTAGAATTCAGCGTGGTGCCTAGCCCAAGCTGTCCCTCAGCAATTTTATTTTTAACAAATAAATGGATCCTTTAAGGCTCACCTGTAACAAATGCAGCCTTTATAATTTTCCTCAATGCACCCTTTATCTCCTCCACTTTTCTTCTTTTCCTCAGTTGAGAATTTTAGCTCTTTTCATAGAACAGATTTTTTATTTTTAGAAAACCACCGGATTATTAGACACATATTTTAGGATTTGGGAGACAGTTTTATATAATTGTATCATTGTATCACAATTTTATATAATTGTATCATTTTCAACATAGCAATTCATTATATGCTTAGCTAAAATAAATTTATCTTTATTATAACTTTTGTAATTCAAAAAAATCTTTGTAAGATTATATGTTCAGATTTTTGATTTGGTAATAATAAATAAATATTAATAACTTTTATCATGCAACATTTGACTTTCATTAAAGCATACAAGCAGACATTGACTAAGTGATAGAATGAGCATAGTTAAGTACATGGGTAAACTCTGATTATTTGTACTTAGAACTGACATGTTCAAATATACAGGGTAAGTCCAGGGCATGTAAAACCATTAGTGCTATTGATTCTGGCAATCAATAAGGATAAAGAAACTCCTACTCAATTAGAAGTAGTGTGGTGTCTTTAATTGTCTTACAATCCATCAGGTTCTCAAAACCTAAATATTCAGCATGTACCTCATAATAGCTTCCTTTTTGCTTTATATTATGATTTTGATAATTATAAGTAATTTTACCTCTGTAGTTTCTTATAAGACATTTATAAAATTGTCTTAAATAATATTTACTTTTTATATTTTGGGTAGGTTGATTTTTACATAAAAGTTACTTACCTATTTATCAGTCTGTTTTTATAATATATATGAGTTATGTTTTCATAGCCCTCAATGTCCCTCCCCTTTAGCCTGTCCTACACACAGTTTCCACATTTATTTTTCTAAAACATTACCTTCATCATATGAGCACCAATTATGCCCTTAAATAAAATCTCAAAAGTATCCCAGTGTATGCAGGACAATGTCAAAAATCCTTCACTGAGTCAGCAAGGTCTTCTATAACCTGGCTCCCCCTTAATATTATTTCCCATTTCCTTTTTATTAGCCTCATTGTACACTGAATGCAAACATTCTTAATTTTGAGACCTTGACTTGATTTTTTATTCCACTTCAAATGCCGCCCAAAGTTTTAACATTGACATATTCAAGTCTCAGCGCTCCTTCAGCATTCAGCCCTCATTATATCCCTCCTCTTCCAGAAAGTCATTTGTCAGTTCTTTGGTACATGGTGTTCTCTAACTCCTGGATCTTGTTATGTCTGTTAACTTGCAGTTTCATATTGTTTAGCATTGTGTCTTTTCTAAAATTGTTCTTAACTCTTTTAAGGATAAATTTTTTATGTCCTATGTTGTGTTCTTGTAATGAAATGATGAAGATTGAAACAGGAAAAAAATGGAATCCCTAAACAGAATTACCACAGAAATTTAGAGCTCTAATATATCTTAGACAGCATTGAGTTCAATTCTGTAACTTACCACATAAGCTGAGGAGGTCCAATAATATGAAATGACTCCTTGAAGGTCACATGGCCAATTGCTATACATATTATATGTAAGACTGAGTGATGATGAATGTTTAATACTGTGCATAATTAAAGAAGTAAAGATGTCATAGAAGGTGAAGAGTTAAGAAAGATGTGGCAAACGAAAGGTAATGAGAATAATGTTACAACATAGGTAATACAAGACAAGTTTATTAGGATCAAAAGAAGATATATTTAACTTAATTAGGAGACATACATTCTAGTTAGGTTAAGAGAAAATATTAAAGTACAAATGGCACCTAAACCCCTGTCCAATTTCTGACAAGCCTGGAGTGACAGGTATCAGAGTAATGGTTAAATAATTTTATAGGCCTGAAGCATGGAAAAACGACTGTTATGAATAATCTTTTATTATCATCTCAGTAAATTGTCACTTGATGTTAAAATAGGCTCTGCATACTTTTTCATGTCAAAGTTTTGTTATCAGTTTTTGTATTTGCTATTCTTTGTAGGTTATATACATATACGTTCATATGTGTGTGCACATGCATTCACATTAAATATGTATTTATTAAGCATCCTCTATGAGCCCAGTATTGCTTGGCTCTTGGAATGCATTCATGACCAAAAGAAAAATCATTTCTTCCCTTTGAGTGCTTTTTTCTAGTGGAAGTAATAGACATTAGTAGCACAATCACACAGATTCATATGTAAACATAAATTGTACCAAGTGTTATAAAAGAGAAGTGTAGTGAGTGATGAGAGCTAAAAATAAAATGACCTTATCTAGTCTGGAAGGCGTCAAAGGTCAGGAATGTCTTCCCTGTGGAGGCACTGTGTAGGGCTATGCATTTACTACTGTATATGTTGGCTTCATGTGCCCAGAGGAAAAAGAGCTGCTTTCTTTCCCCAAAAGTGCTCTCAATTACCAAGCTTTGTGTTAATGATACTGTATTCTTGCAGACAGGGTGCCTTTAATTTATACAAAACCTCTGTATAGTCTAGAAGCGGTCCTTCTTTTTTTGTGGAAGTAATTTTTAAGATATAAATAATTAATGAAAACAAGTAAGTGGCAGAAAAAGAGAAGGCACTCTATGGCATATCCGATGCCCATAAATTACATAAAGGCATTGTTCCTCTGATGGACTGAAAAGTATACTCATGTGGTATCGATGGAGTTTGTGAGGAGTATAATGGAGCTAGAAAGGCAGGAGCAAGATGATGCCAAGGCTTTTCATAATAAGCAGATCACATTTGATTCTCAAGGCCTGCAAGATGGGCTCCAATGATTCGCAAGCTTCTGAAGAAGTTTAAGCAGGAGACTAATATGATCTCACTTACACTGTAAAAGAGATAACTCTCTTTGCTCTGTGGATAAATGATTTGATATGGGAGGCTGAGGGATGATTCAGTGGAGCCAATTAGGAAGCTATTGCGGTAGTCCAAAGAAGAGGTAATGGTAGCCCCACCACTGCAGTGGTGGTGGAGATAGAAAGAGGTGGATGAATATTCAGGAGATATTTAGGAACTGAAGGATCAGTGGTAGATTATGTATGACGTAGTAGACTATTTTAATGATGATTCCTGAATTTTTAGGTTCTTCAACCAGATTGATAGTTGTAATATTCACTAATATATTTAATACTGGAAATAATCTGTTAGGTTTGTGAAAGAGAAAGAAACCGAGAGTTCAGTTTGTTCATGTTGTGGTTGTGCCACTTTTCAAGCTTCCAAATGGACAGGAATAGTAGGTAATTGAATATGTGAAGCTGGGCCTCTTAAGAAGTCTAGGATGGATTTATAACTTTCTAATCCAGCCTGTATGTAATTGGTAATTAAAGATAGTGTGATTGTGGTATCCAGCCTCCGAGATGACCTCCAATGTTTTCCACCTTCTACAGTTCACATCCTTGTGTGGTCTCCTTCCACACTGAATCAGATCTGGTTTGTGTGTCTGACATATTACAAGAACACGTGTCTTCTTAGAATAGGTCATAAAGAGAATTGCTACTTCCACTTTGCTCTCTTAAATTACCATCTCTTGAAAAAGTCAGCCACCATTCCATAAGAACACTCTATTAGTGGAAGGGTCATGACGTAGACGAACTGAGACATCAACAGGAAGTAATAACATGCCAACAGGGTGAGTGAGCCCTGGAAATGGATCCTTCAACTTCAGTCAAACCTTTAGATTAATATAGTCCCTGTTCATATCTAACTGTAACCTTTCAAGAACTGTGAAGAGTTTGGAATTTTACCCTACTTCTAAGATAACAAGTCAGTCAGCCACAGTTTCATAGACCCTGGTGGAAGATATATCACCCAAAAATGAGAGACAAATAACTTTTTCAGTTATATCACAGAAGGCAACAAAAGCTTCATGCTTGCATCTTGATCCCTTTGTCCCACAGGGATGATGTTATGTTGTCCAGATTAATGCTAAACATGCACCACAGCTGAAAAATTCCAAGGTTAATGTAACCTTCCCTTTGCTTTTGAGGTATGTATGTATGTATTATTATTATTATTATTATGGTTTTTAAGCAAGTTTGCCCTTAGTTCTGAATGTAGACACTCTATCTTCTAAGCCTGTTGGCTCCAAGCATTATTAGAAATATATGTGCAAAAGTGAGAGACACAGAGGGCTGTTCTGCAACACAATCTCATGAGAAAACAAAGTCAGACCCACAAAGCCAAACCACTCCTAAATTCTGAGGGACACTAAGCATTTACTGCTGTTTTCAGTATGAAGATTAGGACTAACTTACCAACTTGTGTAACTAGTATAATCATAAATAATAAGTAATTTTTTTCTGGAAATGGGTCTTAAATTTTCTTAAATGAAAAAATTGTGAGGGTGATATTACTAAAAAAATTTTTTTAAATGCCTATTTTCATCTCTCACTTGTAGATATTCTAATTGATCAGGTCCGGAGTGGGACTTCATAATATGCATTTTGTTATGAGTATTTTTAATGCAGATGGTCAGAGGACCTAATTTTCAGAAACACTATATGGAGAGGAATTACAGTGACAGGAAAAGAATGACTAAGACTCATCACCTTGGAACTTCATTATTTAAAGATCAGATAAAGAAAACATGTCATGTGAGAGCAAGGAAGAGCTGTGACAAGGGTATAGGAGAAGAAAAGTTTGAGAGCAAAATAAAGAGTGTTTTCTCGGGAAGAATGTAATTAGCAGAGTCAAATATTTCTTAGAGATCAAGTACTAATCTGGCTGATAACTACAAACAACTCCATGTTTGAGATGTAACTTAGAAAAAAGTTCAATAAAATATATACCTCTAATAAAGCTTCCTTAGGAAGCGCAACAAAAATTTACACTGAAGGGATAATTTAAGAAGATACATTCACAAGGATAAGGATTGCAGGAGATAAGCCAAAGCCAACACAATTTTAGAAGCTGGAAAATAAGCTAAGAGGAAAGGAGAGAGAAGAGACTTACCAGACCTAAGAAAGCCAAATGCCAAGCTGGCTGTGAAGAAAGCAAGTAATAATCTGATTCATACCAGAAAAGAAATCCCCAGTAAGCTCAGGAACTGGCAGAGAAGTTGAAAGAAAAATAAGGTGAAGGTTGTTTGATGATCAATTTAAATCTTCTGCACTTTACTCCACTCAGAGTCTTCCCTTTTCCCCTCAAAACATAAGATTAGATGTTTGTTTTCTGGGGAGATGAAAATAAAAAAATCTATGGATTTGTGGGATGTCAGGCTTAGATGGTTGGAGCCATGTCAAAAACACTGGAGTAAGCGAACATATATATGCAAATTTCTGAGAACACACTTTATACCACTTTCCCACTCAGTTCCGAAACAACGATATTTAAACCTCTACCTTCTTACATAAAAGACACAAGCCAGTAAATAGGAAAAAAAGCAGTTTAGGGAAGACAGACTACACAGAAAGAAAAAAACTTAAGGAAAAACAATCAATATATTTGGAGATATAGAAAAGATGTTACAACTATAATCAAGAATAGGAGGATATAATAAAAACTCGTTTTGAAAAAACAAGCTGTTAGAAATAAACAATAATAGTTTTTTCAAGAATTAATAGAATATTTGAAATATGAGGTAGGTAAAATCTTCCAAAAGGTTAACAGGAAAAGAGGGCAGTCCAGGAGATTTAACATTGGAAAAGAATTCCAGAAAGAAAGAAATTGAGAGGAAAAAAGTTACTAGAATTATTTTTAACATTTTTCAGAGCTAAAGAACATGAGTTTCCAGGTGGAAAGGGCACGTTGACTTTCCCGCACACATGCAAAAAATGAGAGGTGTTCCCTGCTGTGTAGGACCTTGTGTGGCTATGCACACTTTATCCTGCTAGAACACACGGAAATGCTAAAAGAAGTTGCCTCTGAGGAAGGAAAGAAAGTGGTTCGGAAAAGGGAGTACACTTTTTACTGAATCTTTGTGGCCCCTTTTCATTCTAAATTTTGAATTCATGCATAGATCTTGCTTTTAAAAAAATATTGTAACAACATTTAAATAAGATGTACCCACTTAAATTTTAAGTGCACAATAAAATATTGTTACCTATAAACACAATGTTTCACAGCAAATCGCTAGAACTTACTCATCTTGCATAACTGAAACTTCATACCAATTGTAGTACTGTGTCCGGAATTGGTGGGTTCTTGGTCTCGCTGACTTCAAGAATGAAGCCGCGGACCCTTGCAGTGAGTGTTACAGTTCTTAAATATGGTGTGTCCTGAGTTTGTTCCTTCTCATGTTCAGACGTGTTCGGAGTTTCTTCCTTCTGGTGGGTTCGTGATCTCGCTGGCTTCAGAAGTGAAGCTGCAGACCTTCGCGGAGACGCGCTGAGTGTTACAGTGTTACAGCTCTCAAGGCTGCAAGTCTGGAGTTGTTCATCCCTCCCGGTGGTCTCCCTTGCCTCAGAAGTGAACCTGCAGATCTTCTTGGTGAGTGTTACGGCTCATAAAAGTCAATGTTACAGTGGCATGGACCCAATGAGTGAGCAGCAGCAAGACTTACTGCCAAGAGCAAAAGAACAAAGTTCCCACAGCACAGAAGGGGACCCCAGCAGATTGCCACTGCTGGCTGGGGTGGCCTGCTTTTATTCCTTTATCTGGCCCCACCCACATCTACTGATTGGTCCATTTTACAGAGAGCTGATTGGTCCATTTTACAGAGAGCTAATTGGTCCGTTTTTGACAGAGTGTTGATTGGTGCGTTTACAAACCTTTAGCTAGACACAGAGTGCTGATTGGTGCATTTACAATCCTTTAGCTAGACACAAAAGTTCTCCAAGTCCCCACCCATCCCAGAAGCCCAGCTGGATTCACCTCTCAGTGGCACTGGCTGTAGGACTTTAAGGCACCTAGCCCAGGCACTCCAGCAGCCCAGAGGGAGCTCATCCCTTAGCCCAGGCACTCCAGCAGCTCAGAGGGAGCTCATCCCCCAATCAAGCTCAGCAGGCGCAGCGGCCAAACAGAGTGTGGGGCCCCGTTGAGCCGGCGCCCACCTAGAACCTGCGCTGTGTGGTGCCACACCGCAGCCCCAGGCTCCAGCGGGCACCTCTCCCTCCACACCTCCCTGCCAGCAGAGGGAGCTGGCTCCAGCCCCAGCCAGCCCCAAAGAGGGGCCCCCACAGTGCAGCTGTGGGCTGAAGGGCTCCTCCAGTGCGGCCAGAGTAGACGCCGAGGCGGCAGCGAGAGCAAGCAAGTGCTACTAGCACATTGTCACCTCTCAGTAGTCTGTTTTTACGCTGCTATAGATATTACCCACGACTAAGTAATTTATAAGGAAAAGAGGTTTAATTGACTCAGAGTTCCACATGGCTGGGGAGGCCTTAGGAAACTTACAATCATGGCAGAAAGGGAAGCACACACATCTTATATGCTGGCAGGCAAAAGAGAGAGCATGTGGAAGCGCACGAACTCTACCATGTATAAAACTATCAGATTTTGTGAGAATTCACTCACTATCATGAGAACAGCATGGGGGAAACCGCCCCCATAATTTGATCACTTCCCTCACTCAAGGTGTGGGGATTACAGGTTCCTCCCTTGACACGTGGGAATTACAATTCCAGATAAGATTTGGTGAAAACACAGAGGCACACTATATCACCAATTGAACAGCAACTTCCCATTTCATATTTCCCCCTATCCCCACCAACCCTGGCAAACACCATTCTACTCTCTGCTTCTGTGAGAACAAAACCATCTTTGATTATTTTAGATACCTCATGTAAATGGAATTGTGCAGTATCTATCCTTTTGTGTGTGGCTTATTCTCCATGTTCACCCATGTCACATATGGTAGGATCTCCTTCTTTTGGAAGGCTGAATAATATAAGGTTGTATATATGTGCCACATTTTATTTTTCCATTCATCTGCAAATGGGCATTTAGGTTGTTTCTACATTGGGGCTATGAATTTTTGTAATAATAGCTTACATTTATTGAGCAATATATAGGTTTTTTTAGGCATTGTTCAATTGTCTTCACATGAATGAACTCATTTAATTGTCACAGCAACGCTAATATGATTATCCCCATTTTACACATAAGAAAACTGAGCTACAAGGATAAGTAACTGCCCCAAGGTTCAAAGCTAATAATAAAACATGGGTTTAAATGTAAGCAGCTTGTCTCAAGAGGGAGAAATGCAGTAAAAATTTCAAACTCTGTGGCTGACTATCACTATTAGAATATTCAGTCACAAAAGAAGTTTCCCTGGGTCTGTGCCATGTTTTAGAATTCTATTACTATATGTCATTTTTCAATAGCCCATTTGTTTTGTAATTGAGAAGGCTTACAAATATATTTAAAACACATTAATACAGAGTCTTTTAGGAAAAAAATGAAGTTAACATTGTTAGATGGTGGGGAAAGTGGCAGTTTTGAAAGAGTCATTGTTACTTAGAAGCGATCACAACTCTTCTTACTATTGACAGTCACTGCCAACAAGTAACATTTATTGAGTAGTTACTATATATAAGTCAGTATAGGTATGTTAAAGGCATCATTATATTTATATTCAGAAGAATACTCCACCATATTTTCCCCAACTAGAAACATGGTATGTATCTTAAAGTTCTTTTATTTCTTTCCTGGCTTTGTATGTATGTATGTATGTATGTATGTATGTATGTATGTATGTATTTATTTATTTATTTATTTATTTATTTATTTTGAGACGGAGTCTTGCTCTGTCACCCAGGCTGGAGTGCAGTGGTGCAATCTCAGCTCACTGCAATTTCTGCCTCCGGAGTTCAAGCAATTTTCCTGCCTCAGCCTCCCTGGTAGCTGGGACCACAGGCGTGCACCACCATGCCTGGCTAATTTTTTCTATTTTTAGTAGAGACGGGGAAAAAACACTCACTTCAAAATGCTATGCTTCAGCCAATGTTGTGCCCTGTATTGCATAACAATATCACCACAAATTTAGCAGTTTAAAGTAACATATATTTATTATCTCATAATTTCTATGAGTCAGGATTCTGAGCGTGACATAACCGGGGCCTCTGCAAGGATGAATCAAGGTATTACCCGGGACTGGATTCTCATCTGAGACTGGACTGGGAAAAAAATCTGCTTCTAAGCTCACGTGGTTATTGGCTACATTCGGTTGCCAATATTGCAGGTTGACAGAATGAGGACCTCAGTTCTTTGTTGGCTGTCAGCCAGAAGTCAACCACAGTTCCTTGGTATGTGGCTGTCTCAGTGCAATGCACAATACGGCAGCTTGTTTCTTCAAATTTAGCAAGAGAGTGAATTATTCCACAAGACAGACACTGCTATTTTATAAAAATAATTATGTATACAAAATAAAGTGCACACTATCCCACCTTTACCACATTCGATTGGTTGAAAAAAAAAAGCCACAGATTATGCCCACACTGAAGTGGAGCAAATTATACCAGAGTATAAATACCAGGCAGTGGGGATCATGAAGATCACCCAAGACTGTCTGCCACACACCCATATATATTTTTGATAGTTTTTAATCAAGTTTCCGACAGTTATCTTTTCCTCTGTTGGTATACCTAGATATTACCAATGAACTTTTGTGTCCGGCCCATCATACACTTACTCCAATCCCTTGGATCTTATAGTCTTTAAATCATTTTAGACAGAAACAGAAATTTCAAACTGAGAAGCAAGGACAAGTGGTAATTTTTTGAAATAAACTGATATTGAAGGCAGAGTATTATACGTTTTCTCGGTGGCAAAGAAATGTCTTTTTTGGCTTTGGTTTTGGAAATTAAATCAAGTGAAACTGATTTTATTTATTTTGAAAAAGGTCACTTGAATTTTCCCTTTATTTATGAAAATGTAGGGTGAGAAAACCTTAGAAAGGAACTGCATCTCAACTCACATCCTAATTCCCCTTGTATGTGGTTTAAACAAAAAATGCTTACTCACACAGTATGGGAGTAATTTACTACCCTTAGTGGGGAAAACCAAATAAAGTTTATGTCAATAGCTATGATCTTTTTGGGAGACTGGTGTAGAGAAGGATGCGTGTAGACATCACAATCAGTGCTAAGTTGAGGGATACTATTGGAGTGTAATGTCAGTGAGCTCAAAAGAGTTCAAAAAAATTATCTAGAACCAAACTCTTAGGAAAATGAAAACCAGTTTTTTCTCCACTTACTTATTTAGTGAAATAGTCAAGTAATTCTTTGCACAACAACAAAAAAAGTAAATTTGGATGAAAACAAACACACAAAACATTGTCTATGGTATCCTTCATAAGTACTTATCCCATTATGGGAAATCTTGTTTTCTGAAACATTCTCAATTAGGTTTTCTTACTGCTGTAAGTGCCAAATGAAAATGATCCCAAAAGTAATATTGTCCTAACCTCTCTGTGTTTTTTCCTCTTGAAGGGAAGGCACAGTCAGACATAAAGTCTGTACGTCATGGTCTTAGAACTATGTGTAAAACCTTGAAATTGGTGTGCCTTTATTCTCCTAGAATGTAATGAGACAATCTTTAAAGTTGCTTAATCAATATTAGCAGTTTGTTTCAGCCAATTGATTTTATGTATGCTCAATTAAAATAGAATTGTTCAATGACAAACAATTTTTCAGAGTAGCTGATAATAACAAGGTAAGACATTTATATGTTTATTTTGTATTTAACAAAAATTAAATGTGTCATTTACTTACTTACTTATTTTTAAAGGAAATTAACTTCAAACCAAAATTTTAAATATATTAGTATTGCAGGCATGTGCTATCATTTAAAACCACAGTTTCTCTAAGGAATAAGGGAAAGAGTGAGTGGATTTTTGAAGTGTTTACATTTCTATGTGCAGGAACTAAGCAGTATGTACAGTTTTACATATTCTCTGAAAATGAGTATGGTCATTTTTCTCATAATGACCATTTGAAATTATTTTGTAGGTATAACCAGAAATCATTGTGTTTTAACAAATGTAGTTTTTCAGATATTTATATATTATATATATGAGTCTTTTAAAGCAAAGAATATCTGAGACAAACCTCAATCAATTTAGAAAGTTTATTTTGCCAAGGTTAAGGATACACTTGTGACACAGCCTCAAGAGATCCTGAGGACATGTATCCAAGGTGGTCTGGGCACAGCTTGGTTTTATACATTTTAAAGAGACGTGAGACATCAATCAATATATGTAAGATATACATTGGTTTGGTCCAGAAAGGTAAGACAACTGGAAATGGGGAGGAGGCTTCCATGTCACAGGTAGATAAAAGACAAACGGTTACATTCTTTTGAGGTTTGTTGTTGTTGTTGTTGTTTGAGTTTACATAGGGAGGGCTTTATTCCTGAGTACAAAATAAAAGGCTGGGGGTGAAAGTGAATGTATTTTCCTTTCTGAGGTTCCTTTTTATTGTAAAAGATAAATAATGTAGTATTTCAGAAAATTCAAAGGTCGTGAGATGTCTTGCACTTCCTAAATAATTAATTTTCATGAATTATAAGTTTCAAAACAGTTTGATAGATATTTAATCCTAAATCTCTTGGTTATCTCATCAATTAGTTGTGGGGTCTTCTGATTTATACAATGATAGAGTCTGACAATCTAGGCTGTGTTATTTTGAAGTCAAAACATAAGCACAAATTATTTTTAATGGAGTATAGCATCCTTGTATTTGAAAGTAGAAACTTAGTGATTAAAAGCAGATCATAGGACAAACTCTTTCATCTGTTCACAGCTGTGTCCCCAGTGTTCACTCCATCCAGTCCCTGACACAGAGTAGGTGCTTTATAAACAGCAGTTGATGGAGATAATCTTTTGAGTTTTTGATTAGACTTTCAGTGAATACACAATTTACATGACTACTCACTTATGCCTTATTCTGGCTTAGTAAAACAATAGGCCAAAGGAAGCAATCAGATGTGCATTTGTCTCATGTGAACAGAGAGATGACTTTGCGTTCTGTCAGTTGTTTGTCCACAGAAAATTTTCTTGTGGGCAAATTGTGAGGGAGGTATGAGGCTTTTATTAATCTTTGTAGCTATCTTATTTACAAATAGAATGAGAGGCAGATTTGCCCTATGAAGTTCCCAACTTGACTTTTCCCTTTGGCTTAGTGATTTGGAGTCCTGAGATTTATTATCTTTTCACTGTCTAGACCCAGAAAAGAACCTAAAGTGCATTACTTAAAATGCAATAATAGTAGTGTTTTCATTTTTGTAACTTGTAAATTAGAAGTCGGTTTTTCACTTTGTTTATAAATTGGAAACCTAGAAGAATTCATTATTAAAAATCAAAGATAATATTAAACTTTTGATTTTGAGACTTACAACAAATTAGCACAGCAGGTTTTCACTTAATTTGTTAGAATTTCTAATGCTAAAATCTATTTTTAGTTCTCAAACTGAAGCTTGGAACTCTTTTTTTTTTTTTTTTTTTTTTTTTTTGAGATGGAGTCTCACTCTGTTGCCCAGGCTGGAGTGCAGTGGCGCAATCTTGGCTCAGTGCAACTTCCGCTTCCTGGGTTCAAGTGATTCTCCTGCCTCAGCTTCTCCAGTAGCTGGGGCTACAGGCATGCACCACCACGCCTGGCTAATTTTTTGTGTTTTTCAGTAGAGGTGGGGTTTCATCATGTTGTCCAGGCTGGTCTCGAACTCCTGACCTCAGGTGATCTGCCCGCCTCGGCCTCCCAAAGTGCTAGGATTACAGGCATGAGCCACTGCACCTGGCCTTGAAACTCTTTATATATGCATATACCATTACACCGAATCAACTGTCTGCATACCCACCCTGCAATGTGTATGCATGTGTGTATATTATGGATAGATACAGATACACAAACACACACATATTTTTTATAAGCATACAGCTTTTCTCTGAAATTGCTTCTCTCATATGCCATAAAAGTTCAAGCTTCTGCTCTCTGCCTTAAGTAGCAAATTACTTCTGCTCACTTTGCCCTCTGCTCTGCTCTTGTCATGTTTCAAGAGAGCTTTTTCAAGCACATAAGCCTAAGGAAGGAACTAAGAACATAACTTCCTCCTAGTTGGTGAACTTTTCTGTAAATGCTGCCATAATTTACTGGGAAAAATGAACCTACTAAAAATTAAGGTGATTGTAATAGTTTCTGGTTAAAGTTAGAGAAGATAATATTTTGGAAGATGCAGTTGCATTTGGTCCTAAAACTTGAGAAAATGTAAAATAATCTCCTTATACTTGGAATCAATTACTAATTCTATGTTGTTTCATTAAACAAATAAGTACCTAGAGATAAAGGGTATGCAGTGAAATGATGTGGTTTGGCTCTGTGTCCCAACCCAGATCTCATCTTGAATTGTACTCCTATAATTCCCACATGTTGTGAAAGGGATCTGGTGGGAGATAATTTGAATCATGGGGGTGATTTCCCCCATACTGTTCTTATGGTAGTGAATAAGTCTCACCAGGTCTGACGGTTTTATCAGGAGTTTATGCTTTTGCATTTTCCTCATTTTCTTCTTGCTGCTGCCATGTAAGAAGTGCCTTTCACTTTCTGCCGTGATTCTGAGGCCTCCCCAGCAATGTGGAACTGTAAGGCCAATTAAACCTCTTTTCTTCCCAGTCTCAGATATGGCTTTAACAGCAGCATGAAAACAAACTCATAAATTGGTTATCAGAAGAGTGTGGCATTGCTGAAAAGTTACCCAAACATGTGGAAGCGACTTTGGAACTGGGTATCAGGCAGAGATTGGAACCATTTGGAGGGCTCAGAAGAAGATAGGAAAATATGAGAAAGTTTAGAACCTCCCAGAGACTTGTTGAATGGCTTTGACCAAAATGCTGATAGTGATATGAACAATAAGGTTCAGGCTGAGGTGGTCTCAAATGGAGCTGAGGAACTCATTGGGTACTGGAGCAAAGGTGACTCTTGTTATGTTTTAGCAGAGACCGGTGGCATTTTGCCCCTACCCTAGAGATTTGTGGAACTTAGAACTTGAGAGAGATGACTTAGGGTATCTGGTGGAAGAAATTTCTAAGCAACAACGCATTCAAGAGGTGACTTGGGTGCTATTAAAAGAATTCCATTGTAAAAGCAAAACAGAGCATAAAAGCTCAGAAAATTTGTAGCCTGACGATGCAGTAGAAAAGAAAACCTCATTTTTTTAGGAGAAATTCAAGCTGGCTGCAGAAATTTGCATAACAAGCAACTAAATATTAATCCCCAAGCAATGGGGAAAATATTTCCAGGGCATGTCAGAGGTCTTCACGGCAGCCCCTCCCATCACAGACCCAGAAGCCTAGGAAGAAAAAAATGGTTTCATGGGCCAGGCCCAGGGTCCCCATGCTGTGTTCAGCCTAGGGACTTGGTGCCCTGCATCCCAGCCGCTCCATCCCTTGTTAAAAGGGACCAAACCTTGGCAGGTTCCACATGGTGTTGAGTCTGCAGGTACACACACAGAAATCAAGAATTGAGGTTTGGGAATGAATGAATGAATCTCCACCTAGATTTCAGAAAATATATGGAAATACCTGGATGCCCAGGCAAGTTTGCTGCAAGGGCAGGGCCCTCATGGAGAATCTCTGTTAGGCTAGAGCAGTACGGAAGGGAAATGTGGGGTTAGAGCCCTCACAAAGAATCCCTACTGGGGCACCCCTTAGTGGAGCTGTGAGAAGAGGGCCACAGTCTTCCAGACCCTAGATTGGCAGATCCACTGGCAGCTTGCACCGTGTGCCTGGAAAAGCCACAGGCGCTCAATGCCAGCCCATGAAAGCAGCCAGGAGTGGGGCTACACGCTGCAAAGCCACAGGGGCAGAGCTGTCCAAGACTATGGGAACTTGCCTCTTGCATCAGTGTGACCTTGATGCGAGATATGGAGTCAAAGGAGATCATTTCGGAGCTTTAAAATTTGACTGCCCCACTGAATTTCGGACTTACATGGGCCATGTAACCCCTTTGTTTTGGCTAATTTCTCCCATTTGGAATAGCTGTATTTACCCAATACCTGTACCCCATTGTATGAAGGAAGTAACTAGCTTCCTTTTGATTTTACAGGCTCATACATGGAACAGGCCTCGCCTTGTCTCAGATAAGACTTTGGACTGTGGACTTTTGGGTTAATGCTGAAATGAGTTATGACTGTGTGGGACTGTCGGGAAAACATGATTGGTTTTGAAATGGGAGGACATGAGATTTGGTGGGACCAGGGGCAGAATGATGTGATTTGGCTCTGTGTCCCCACCCATATCTCATCTTGAATTATACTCCCATAATTCCCACGTGTTGTGGGAGGGACCTGGTTGGAGATAATTTGAATCATGGGGGCAGTTTTCCCCATACTATTCTCATGGTAGTGAATAAGTTTCACAGGATCTGATGGTTTTATTAGGGGTTTCTGCTTTTGCATCTTCCTTATTTTTCTCTCGCCATTGCCATATAAGAAGCACCTTTTGCCTCCCACCATGATTCTGAGGCCTCTCCAGCCATGTGAAACTGTAAGTCCAATTAAACCTCTTTCCTTCCCAGTCTCGAGTATGTCTTTATCAGCAGCATGAAAAAGGACTAATACAGAATACTGAAATTTGTTTCCTTATTACATACCAAAATGGAATTGGGTGAGTGGTAATGGATGACTCTGATTTATTATTATAAATAGATCTAGAAAACATAATGCTAATTGGAAAGAGCAAGGTGTAGAAAGATACAAATGATGTGATGGTCTTTGCAAAGATTTCAAAAACACATAATAGCAAGGATGACTTCAGCAATATAGCAGAGTAGGGAACACTGCACCCCCCTTTCCTGAACAAACACAGTGATTCAACAACCATTCACACACAATTTTGGTTGTGTGCAAAATCAAAAATTAGTTGAAGGGCTCTTATACTTAAGGAGAATGCAAAACCAGATTCACTGAAGCTAGTAGAATGATTCAGAACACTCTCTTGCTAGAATCCCTACCCCAGAACAGCACCATATAATGGGGAGGAGAACCCTAGCTCTTAGTTTCACCCAAAATAGAGAAGGTGTTGGTTTGCCCTTCCGGTGCCCCAACTTTTCTGAAGGGGGTCCTCAAAGGACTGGCTTCTGCCTTGAAACTTGGAGCTCTAAGGCTCCATCATAGTTGAGGTACCCAGGGTGAAATGTACGCAGTGGCTTTGGCTGGTAAATGCCATTAACAACCCCAGCCCCCACCCAGCGTAGAGTAAGAAAGAGACATCCAGCTCTCAGTTTCCCCCTGAGGAATAATTGATGTAAGTCTCACCAGTCTTGAAACTCTGATGGGTCCAGCCTATTATAACCACCTAGGGAGAAAGGAGATTGTAATTTAGGCTAGTAGATGCCATAGTTCCTTCCTCCACAGCTTAGCACAGGGTGAGTGAACAAAACCACATCTGCCTGCTTCTTCCTGGGCAGATAAAGAGTTGGTAGATGCTCCCATAATATCTGGCTAGAATTTTTGTTGGAAATCTTCTCCTGTATGAGACCATTGTGTGAAAACTAGGAGATGTACTTGCTTTGTCTAATGCTCAGATACCAACACAGAGAGTCAAGGAAAATAAAGAATCAAGTAAAAGTTTTCCAAACAAAAGAACAAGAACAACTCCAGGAACCAAACTTAAAGAAAAAGAGTTGCATAACTTACCTGGCAGAGATTTAAAAATAACTTTCATAAGTATGTTTACTTGGATCAAGAGAACCATGTATGAACAAAGCAAGAATTTCAAGCAAGATGGAAGTTACTTTAAAATGCAGCAATAGAATAATAGCAGAAGACATCAATATCCCATTTTCAAAAAGACATAATATGGAGACATATGATCAATAAGGAAACAGCAGACTTAAATAACACTCTAGATCAAATGGAACTAATAGACATATAAAGAACATTTCACCCAATAAAAGGATACACATGCTTCTCAAGCACACACAGAACTTTCTTCAGGATAAAGATCATGGGAGGTCACAAAACAGGTCTTAAAAATTCAAGAAGATTGAAATCATACTATGTGTCTTTTCTGACCAAAGTGGAATGAAGCTAGAAATCAATACCAAAAGGAAAACTGGAAAATGAAAAAAAATGTGGAAATTAACACATTCTTAAACAACCATTGTGACAAAAAGGAAATTTAAAAATATCTCAAGACAAATGGAAATAGGAACAGAACATACCAAAACTTATGAGATCCAGTAAGAGGAGTATTAGAGGAAAGTTGAGAGTGATAAAGACCTACATTAAAAAATTAAGGATCCAAAAAAATAGCCTATCATATCTCAAGGAACTGAAAACAAAAGACAGTAAGCCCAAAGTTAGCAGAAGAAAGTTACAAACATTAAAGCAGAAATAAACAAAATAGAAAAAAAGCAGAAAAAAATCAACAAAACTGATGAATTTTGAAAACATAAACGAAATTGGCAAATCCTTACATAGGTTAAGAAAGAAAAAAAGAAAAAAGATGCAAATAAAAAAATCAAAAATGAAAAAGAAACATTACAACTGATGGCACAGATATAAAAAGAATAATACAAAGTACTACTTCTCAAACTATTTCAAAAAATAAAAGAGAGGGGAACATTTTCAAACCGATTTTATAAGGCCAACATTACCCTCCTACCAAAGCCAGACAAAGACACCACAAGGAAAAAAAAAAAAAAAAACTACAGTCCAATATCCTCAGTAAATATAGGTGTAATAGTTTTCAATAAAATACTAATGAACCAAATTCAATGCTAAATTGAAAGGATCATACACCATGACCAACTGGCATTTATCCCTGTGATGCAAGGATGGTTTAAAATATGAAAATCAAATAATGTGATACACATTAACATAATACATGATTAAAAGTGTGTGATCATCCCAATAGACGCAGAAAAGACATTCAACAAACTTCAAACACTTTCATGGTAAAAACTTGCAACAAATCAGGAACTGAAGAAAATTACCTCAACACCTTGAAGATCATATGTAAAAAAACACACAGCAAGCATCATACTCAAGCTGAAAGCTCTATCTCTAAGATTAGAGCAAGTCAAGATTGCCCACTTGCGCCACTTCTCTTCAATATAGTATTGGTAGTTCTAGCCAGAGCCATTATGTGAGAGAATGAAATAAAATAATTCCAAACTGGAAAGATAGATGTAAAATAATTCCGGTTTTCAGATGACATGGTTTCACATATAGAAAACTCTAAAGATGCTACCAAAAAATTGTTAGAAGTTGTAAACAAATATAGTAAATTTCAGAATACAAAATTAACATAGAAAAATCAGTTGTATTTCTATACATGAACAATGAGCTATCTGAAGAGGAAATTAGAAAACATTCCATTTATAATAACACCAAAAAAACACCTAGGAATAAACTTAAGTGAAAACATAAAAGACCTGTACACTGAAAACTGTAAAACACTAATGAAATAAATTAAAGGAGATACAGATAATTGGAAAGACGTGCTTTGCTTATAGATTAGAATTAATACTATTAACAATTCCATACTACTGAAGGCAATACACAGAGTCAGTGAAATCTGTTAATATCCCAATGACATTATTTACAGGAATAGAAAAAACAGTCCTTAAACTCTTATGGATATCTGGATATTCTCAAGATGGCTGACTAGGAACATTGGATGCCAGTTCTCCTCAGAAATAAGATCAAAGTTACTGGTGAATGGAAAACTTCTGAGTGGAAAACAGAGGGAAGTGAGCTAAGACCTCAGCTCAATGTTGAAGTGCCCATGGGAAGAAAGGCCAATGAAAAGAAACGGGGGTGCAGAAAAGGAAAGTGGCAAGAGTCTGGCAGAGATTAATCCCCAAGGAACTTAAAGCCCTACAGAAACGGGAGATGCAGATGGGAGTGCTTCTTTTCTCCCCTCACCTCTGCAACAATCTGCTGACTGCCAAACTGTTGGGAAGCTAGGCAGCCCTTGTGACCCAGAGCAACATTCTCGGTGGTGATTTGGGAAATTTCTAGGGACACAGAACTGGGTGGCCAGCTCACACAGGCATGCCTACACACCCGTCAAACCCAAACTTAGAAAATGAGTGCCATACTGGTTTGTGCACACATGGTGGGTCACCACTTTGCTCAGGAATTCTCTGCTTTTGAATCATTGCACCACCAGAGCCTCCACAAATGTACCACACAACCCACTCTGGCTTTTGCAAGCATGGGGAACTCATGGGTCCCCAGAGACCTGCAGGAACCCTGGAGATCTAAACCTCAACATAGGCCACCTCTAAGGAGGGGGAGTGCAGCCCACCAAAGCAGCCTTTGGAACAAAGGGAATGCAGGTGAGGCAACAATCACTGAACAGAGCAGCAACAACACCGAGGACCGGACATAGAGAGTGGATCATCTGCAGAGCCTCCTTCTCATGCACTGTTGAGGACATAGCAGTGGTTCTTCTCATTGGAGAGTGGTGTGTATGCACTCAGAGCAAGCATTTTTTATGTTTTCCACAGTGGCTTTGCCCCCGCAGAAAGTGAGCTTGTGCTACTTGGGCTTACACAAAGGACAGGGCCCAACTCCACCTTCCTGCAGAGAAGAGCAATGTCCTGGCAAAGGAGGACAGACAAGTTGTAGAGTTGCCTGCTCTAGACTAGAGGAAAACACTTTGCCTCAATCCAACTTTAATGGTTGCTATGAGAGGTGTGTATTCACTGCCCACAGCCACACTGCAGCCAGGAACCAAAAGGCAAAGTCTTTTGGTTTGCAACAGGGGCATGGTAGGGAAGCAGATCAAATTCCTTCTGGTTCAGAATGAGGAACTGGTACAACAACCCAACTCCTTTCTTCAAGACCTCAGCACAACCCGTCATCAGCCTACTTGAGGACAAGACAGTTCTTTCTTTTAAGCACCTCTTATGGTACTGCAAACTAAACTGCAACATGAAATAAAAAATCTGCTGACAGAGATCTTAGTGCTAGTCCGTAAGATAAGCCTCCTGAGACCTCTGCCCCTTCAGGTCTGCAGGAGATAGTGGGCCACCTTATATGTCCAATACATCACTACAACACACAGCATCTGAGAAAGCTACCATACAGAAGCTATCCACAATCAAGGAACCTATACAGAGCTGTAGTTCCCTGAAAGTACCCAGAAACTAAGTCAATCACACACAACTTATACTACAGTCATACCCTCAAGGAAAAAAGAATTAAAAATTAAAACGCTCCATCCAAATGACAGAACATTCAAAAATAAGAAGTGACAGCTCTCTCAGATGTGAAGGAATCATCACAAGAACTCAGGCAGCACAAAAAGCTAGAATGTCTTGACATCTCCTAAAAATCACACTAGATCTCTAGCAATAGATCTTAATCAAATTAAAGAGTCTTAAATGACAGATAAATAATTTGAAATATGGATTGCAAAGAAACTTAACAAGATTCAAGAGAAAGTTATCCAAAATGAAGAAACCAGAGAAACAATTTAGGATTTATAAGACAAGATAACTATATTAAGACAAACACAAATAGAACTTCTAGAATTAAAATACTCACTAAGGGAATTTGGAAATACAAGTGAAAGCTTTAACTGTAGACTAAACCAAGCAGAAGAAAGAACTTCAGCGCTCAAAAACTGGTGTTTCAAATTAACCCAGTCAGACAAAAATAAAGAAAAAAGAATTTTACGAAAATGAACAAAGGCTTTAAAAAATATGGGATTATTTAAAGTGACCAAACCTATGATTTATTGGCATGATTGTGAGAGAAGAAAAAGTGTCTTGAAAAACATAATTGAGGAAATAATTCAGCAAAATTATGTGAATCATTTTAGGGAGTTTGACATCCAGATATAAGAATTTAGAGAACCTGTGAGATACTATACAAGACAACCATCCCCAAGGAATATAGTCATCAAACTCTCCAAGGTCAACACAAAAGAAAAAAAAAACTGAAAGGCATGCAGAGAAAATGGCTAAATTACCTATAAGGTCAATCCCATCAGCCTAACAACAGACTTAACAACAAGAAATGTACAAGCCAGAGGTGATTGGGAGCCTATTTTTACCCTTCTTAAAAAAAAAAGCCAGCCAAGAATTTCATATTTTGCTAAAATGAGCTCACAAATGAAGAAGAAATAAAGCCTTTCCTGATGAAAAAATGCTAAGGAAATTTGTCACCACCAGAACCAAGTGTACAATAAATGCTCAAAGGTGTTCTAAACTTGGAAATGGAAGAATGATACTTGCTACCATAAAAGCACACATAAGTACAAATTTCACAGGCCTTATAAAGCAATTATGCAATTGAGACTACAAAGCAAGTAGCTAGCAACACCATGAGAGGAACAAAACCTCACATATCAATATTAACCTTAAAAATAATGTTTTAAATATTTCACTTTAAATATTTCACAAATTGGATTAAATAAACAAGACCCAACCCATTGCTGCCTTCAAAAGACCGATCTCACTTGTAATAACACCCACAGGCTCAAAGTTAAATTAGGGAGAAATATCTATTATGAAAATGGAAAACTGAAAAGGGCACGGGTTGCTACTCTTTTATCAGATAAAACAGACTTTAAAACAATAACAGTTAAAAAAGACAAAAAGGGCATTATATAATGATAAAGGGTTCTATCCAACAAAAAACTTAACTATCCTAAATATATAAGAACCCAATACTGGAGCACCCAGATTTATAAAACAAATACTACTAAACCTAAGCAAATAGATGGTGGTCATAAAAACATAGCAAGGTACTTCAACACCCCACTGATAGCACTAGACAGATTATTGTGGCAGAAAATTTACAAAGAAACTTCAGACTTAAATTGAACTCTTGATTAAATGGACCTAATAGACATCTACATAATACAGAATATTCCATTTAACAACCATAGAATTATACATTTTTGTCAACTTTGCATGGGACATTCTCTAAAACTGACCAGATGCTCAGTCACAAAGCAAGTCAAAATAAATTATAAAAATTCAGAATCATGTCAAATACCTTCTCAGAGCACAGCAAAATAAAAGTAAAAGTGAACACCAGGATCTAGAACCAGAAATACCATTTGACCCAGCAATCCCATTACTGGGTATATACCCAAAGGATTACAAATCATTCTAGTATAAAGACACATGCACAGGTATGTTTATTGCAGCACTGTTCACAATAGCAAAGACTTGGAACCAACCCAAATACCCACCAATGATAGACTGGATAAAGAAAATGTTTCACACATACACCACGCAATACTGTGCAGCCATAAAAAGGATGACTTCATATCCTTTGCAGGGACATGGATGAAGCTGGAAACCATCATTCTCAGCAAACTAACACAAGAACAGAAAACCAAACACCGCATGTTCTCAGTATAAGTGGGAGTTGAACAATGAGAACACATGGACACAGGGAGGGGAACATCACACACCGGGGCCTCTCGGGGGCTGGGGAGCTAGGGGAGGGATAGCATTAGGAGAAATACCTAATGTAGATGAAGGGTTGATGGGTGCAGCAAACCACCGTGGCACGTGTATACATGTGTAACAAACCTGCATGTTCTGCACATGTATCCCAGAACTTAAAGTATAATAATGAAAAAAATAATAAATTAATACCAAGAGGAACCCTCAAAACCACACAAGTGCATGAAAACTAAACAACTTCCTCCTGAATGATTTGGGGTAATCAAAAAAATTAAGGCAGAAATTTAAAAAAATTAAACAAATGGAAACAGAGGAACAATATAGCAAATTGCCTGGGATACAGAAAAAGTTAAGGTTAAGAGGAACATTTATAGTGCTTAAAGCCTTCATCAAAAAGAAAGAAGACATCAAATTAACAACCTATCTTCACACCTAAGGAAACTAGAAGAGCAAGAATAAACCAAACAGAAAACTAGCAGAAGAAAACAGAAATGAAGGTTAGATCAGAACTAAATGGAATTGAGACAAAAAAAAAAAACCCATACAAAAGATCAACAAAACAAAAACTGGATTCTTTGAAAGAATAAACACAATGGATAGTCTTCTAGCTAGATCAATCAAGAAAAAGTGCAATCAGAACAAAAAAAAGTGACATTACAACTGATACAACAGAAATACAAAAAATTTTGAGATACTGCTATTAACATCTCTATGCACATAAACTAGAAAAATCTAAAAAGTGAATAAATTACTGGAAAACCTAACCTCCCAAGACTGAACCAGGAAAAAATTGAAATCTTAAACAGACCAAAAATGAGTTAAGAAATTGAGTCAGTAATAAAAAATCTACCAAAAAAATTGTAGAACCAAATGGATTCATAATCAAATTCTACCAGAAGTACAAAAAATATCCAGTAACAATCTTATTGAAACTATTCCAAAAGCTCAAGAAGGAGGGATTGCTCTCTAACTCATTCTATGAAACCAGTATCATCCTGACACCGAAATCTAGCAAAGAAACAAGACAGGAAAATTTTAGACCAATATCCATAATGATCACAGATGTTAAAAACCTCAAGTAAATACTAGCAAACAAATAGAGCAGCACACCGAAAGGATAATTTATTATGACCGAGTGGGTTTTATTCCTGAGAGGCAAGGATTGTTCAAAATATGCAAATCAATAAATGTGATTCACCACATAAACAATTAAAACAAAAACCTTATGTTCATCTCAAAATACTGGCAAACAGAATCCAGCAGCATATCAAAGCTAATTTACCACAATCAAGTAAGCTTCATTCCTGAGATGCAAATTTGGTTCAACATGTGTCATTCAATAAAAGTGATTCACCACATAAACAATTAAAAAAAAAGATTATCTGAATAGATGCAGAAAAAGCATTCTATAAGATCCAGTATCTTTTCACGGTAAAAACCTTCAACAAACTAGGCATTCAAAGAACATACCTCAAGATAATAAGATCTATAAATGACAAACACACAGCCAACATCATATTGAATGGACAAAATTTGTAAGCATTCTCCCCTAGCAACTGGAACAAGACAAGAATGCCCACACTCACCATCCCTATTCAACATAGTGCTGGGAGTCTTAGTAATCAGGCAAAACAAACAAATAAAAGGCACCTAAATAAGAAAAGGGGAAGCCAAATTATCTGTTTGCTGATAATGATCCTACCTCTAAAAAACCTTAATGATTTGTCCAAAAGACTCCTCAATTAGATGAAAAACTTCAGTAAAGTTACAGGATACAAAAGCAACATACAATAATCAGTAGCTTTTATATACACCAATAATGTTCAAGCTGAGAACAAAATCAATAACTCAATCTTACTTACAATAGCCATAAAAATTGTAATATATAGAAATGAATTTAACAAAGAAGTTGAAGGTATCTACAAAGAGATCTATAAAACACTGATGAAAGAAATTGTGGGTGACACAAACAAATAGAAAAACATTCCATGCTCATTAATTGGAAGAATCAATGTTGTTAAAATGACCATACTGCTCAAAATACTCTAGATTTAACATAATTCCTATGAAATTAGCAACATCGTTTTCACAGAAGTAGATAAAAACAATTACAGAATACATATAAAACCAGAAAAGAGGTTGAATACACAAAACAATACTAAGCAAAAGCAACAAAGTGAGAGGTTTCACATTACCTGACATCAAATTATACTATAAGGCTTCAATAGTCCGAACAGCACAATACTGGTGTAACAATAGACACACAGATCAATAGAACAGAATAGAGAACCCAGAAATAAAACCACACACGTACAGCCGATGCATCTTTGATAAAGTCAACAAAAATAAACCACTGGGAAAGGACACCCTATTCAGTAAATGGTGGTGAGGAAACTGGCTACCCATATGCAGAAGAATGAAACTAGACACCTACCTCTCACCATACACAAAAATTAACTCAAGATGGATTAAAGACTTAAATGTAAGAACTTAAACTAAAAGTTCTAGAAGAAAACCTAGGAAAATCTCTTCTGGACATTGGCCTAGATAAAAAATTTAAGACTAAATTCTTGAAATCAAATGCAGCAAAAATAAATATAGACAAATAGTAATTAATTAAAATAAAGAGCTTCTGCAAAGAAAAAGAAACTATCAACAGGGCAAACAGATAACATGCAGGGTGACAGGATGAAAGAAAATATTTGTAAACTATACATCTAACAAAGAAATAATATCCAAACCTATAAGGAACTTAAACAAATCAACAAGAGAAAATAACCCCATTATAAAGTGGACAAAGGATACGAATAAACACACTTCAAAAGAAGATGTATGATATGGTTTGGCTGCATCCCCACCCAAAATCTCATCTTGAATTGTAATCCCCATTATCCGCATAATCCTTATAATCTCCATTCATCAAGGGAGAAACCAGGTAGAGGTAATTGAATCATGGGGGCATTTTTCTGCATGCTGTTCTCATGATAGTGAGTGAGTTCTCATAAGATCTGATGGTTTTATAAGTGTGTGATAGTTCCTCCTGCATTCATCCTCCTTCCTGCTGTTGTGTGAAGAAGGTACCTTGCTTTTTCTTTGCCTTCCACCATGATTGTAAGTTTTCTGAGGTCTCCCCAACCATGCTGATCTGTGAGTCAATTAAACCTCTTTTCTTTATAAATTACAGTCTCAGGCAGTTCTTCATAGGAGTATGAAAAGACTAACACAGCATACAACTGGCCGACAAACATATGAAAAAATGCTCAACATCACTAATCACCAGAGACATCCAAATTAAAAGAACAATGGGATAGTATTTCCCAGCAGTCAGAATTGCTATTATTATAAAGTCAAAAGATAACAGTCATTGGTGAGGATGTGGTGAAAATTGAACTCTCTTATACACTGTTTGTGGGAATGTAAATTAGTTCAAACTGTATATCAAACAGTATGGTGATTTCTCAAAGAGCTAAAAGTAGAACTACTATTTGACCCAGTAATTCTACTACTGAGTATCTTTACAAAGAAATAAAATTGTTTTATCAAAAATATACCTGAACCTGTATGCTCATCACAGTACTATTCACAAAAGCGAAGTCATGAAATCAACCTAAGTGTCCATCAACAGTGAATTGGATAAGGAAAACATGTTATATATACACCATGAAATACTACAGAGTCATAAAAATGATGAAATCATGTCCTTTGCAGCAACATGGATGCAACTGAAGGCCATTATCCTAAGTGAAATAATGCAGAAATAGAAAATCAAACACCTTATTTGATTAATAAGTTCTTACTTATTAGTCAGAGCTAAGCAATGTGTACACATGAACATAGAGATGGCAATAATAGACACTGAGGCCTAATAGAGGTGGAAGGGAGGGAGGGGAGCAAGGGATGACAAACTACCTACTGTGTACGATATTCATTATTTAGGTGATGAGTTCACTAGAAATCCAAACCCTATCATTATGCAATATACTCATATAACAAATGTGTACGTATACTCCCTGAATCTATAGTAAAAACAATAAAAATTAAAATAAAAATAGAACTCATACTTAACCACAAGAAACTGAGAATAACCAAGGAAATCTTGGATGAAAAGCAAAGCAGGAGGCATCACACTTTCTGATTTTAAAATATATCACAAAGATATGGTAATCAAAAGACCATGATATTGGCATAAAGACAGACACAAAGACCCATAGACCAACAGAACAGAATAGAGATCCCAGGAGTAAAGTCATTTATATATGGTTAATTTGTCTTCGACAAGGGTGCCAGGAATAAATAAGGGAGAAAAGATCATCTCTGTAACAAATATTGTTGGGAAAACTGAATATCCACATACAAAATAAGGAAATTACACCATACACAAAATCAATTAAAAAGATATGAAAGACAAAAAAGTAAGACCCCAACCTCTAAATATTTTTTTAAAATATAGGTGAGAAGCTTTATGACATAGGTATTGGCAATGATTCTTTAATACAAGACCAAAATCACAGATATCAAAAACAAAAATAAACAAGTGGGACTACGTTAACCTAAAACGTTTCTGCACAGCAAAAAAAAAACCATCAACAAAGTGAAAAACAACCTATGGAGTGGGAGAAAATGTTTCCAAAAAATATATCTGAAAAGAAGTTAATCTCAAAAGTATATAAGGAACTCCTATGATGCAATAGTTCAAATAATAATAATAACTCAATTTAAAAATGAGTTAAGGAATTGAATAGACATTTCTCCAAAGAAGACCTAAAAATGGCCACGAGCTATATGAAAACATGCTCAATGTTACTAATCATCAGAAAAATGCATATCAAAATCACCACATAATATTGCTTCACACCTATCAGAATGATTATTATCAAAAAACAAATGACAACAAGTGTTCAAGAGGATATCAAGTAATTGAAACCCTTGCACATTGTTGGCAGAAGTGCAAAATGGTGCAGCTGTTGTAGAAAACAAGCATGGATGCTCCCCAAAAATTTTAAAATAGAACAATCATGTGATTCAGCTATCCCACTTGTGGGTATTTATCCAAAGAATTGAAATCAGGATGGCAAAGAGACATTTAAACTTTAATGTTCATTGTAGCACTATTCACAAAAAACAAGATATGGATAAAAACCTATGTGTTCATGGGGAGATGACTAGATTAAGAAAATGTGGTAGACATTTCTCCAAAGAAGACCTAAAAATGGCCACGAGCTATATGAAAACATGCTCAATGTTACTAATCATCAGAAAAATGCATATCAAAATCACCACATAATATTGCTTCACACCTATCAGAATGATTATTATCAAAAAACAAATGACAACAAGTGTTCAAGAGGATATCAAGTAATTGAAACCCTTGCACATTGTTGGCAGAAGTGCAAAATGGTGCAGCTGTTGTAGAAAACAAGCATGGATGCTCCCCAAAAATTTTAAAATAGAACAATCATGTGATTCAGCTATCCCACTTGTGGGTATTTATCCAAAGAATTGAAATCAGGATGGCAAAGAGACATTTAAACTTTAATGTTCATTGTAGCACTATTCACAAAAAATAAGATATGGATAAAAACCTATGTGTTCATGGGGAGATGACTAGATTAAGAAAATGTGGCATACACATACATTGGAATATCATTTAAAGTCACTCAGTCTTTTAAAAAGAAAATTTTGTAATATGTAACACTCTGGATAAATTTTGAGATTTTGTTAAGTAAAATAAGCCAGACACAGAAATCCAAACATTGCATAATTCAATTTATATGAGGTATCTAAAATACTCAATTTTTTTTTTACTCCGAGATGATAAATTGGAGGCACCACACAAAAGTGAACCAACTAGCTCAGGCAGTGAGCACAGGTTGAAAGAAGCTCCCAGGTGAATTTCATGATGTAAACTCAAGGGGCAATAAACTTCCTTGGCCAAAAACTCGTGGGTGAGTGCAAAGTGTGTCATAGCCAAAAGTTCAAGAGCTGGGTGCCTAGCTTAGCAAGCAAATGGGGAGGGACATGGCCTAAAAGTCATGGTTGCTATCTCTGCAAGGAAAGCTTATTGCCTGGCCAGGTCTGAGTTCTGAGCACAGGCTACCTGGAACTTAGCTTGCTGCTGCTAGCGAAGCACTGCGGGAGTGAGATCTGCCTTGCCAGGTGCATGGGATCTAGGTGAGGCTTACTGCCTCCTGCTAATCCACACTCCCTGTGCAAACTCTTCTGTGCAGCATAGGCATTTACAGTGCCCTCTGGAATATTACCCCAGTAGCCTGAGAACCACCCCTCATACCCTACAGGGGCTGAAGATGGCTCCGCATGTGGAGAGCCAGAGCACTGACCTACCTGACTCAGCCCGGATCTGACTCTGCCTCTCCACTTACCCCGGTAATTTAACACAAAAGACAGAAAGTGTTGGGAGCTTTGTGGCCCCACCCATAACCTGAGAAACCAGAGTACCTCCCCTGGACGACATAGAGCAAACACCAATTCTGCTGCTAGTATCACAGCTGGTGATCTTTTGCAGTACCACCTCCTGGCTGGAGGCCAACTGAAACAGTTCATTATAGCATCTCTAGTTGTAGTAGCAATAGAAGACAGCAAATTTGCTCACATACCAAGTGTATTAGTACTACAACCAACATCTGAGAAAGTCATAACACAAAGACTCTCTATAATTAAGGAATTTATACAGAGTCTTTATCCCTAGAAGCAACAAGAAAAATAAAAGGCTATAATGGACTATAAATATTAAAGTCATATCTTTAAGGGGAAAAATTGAAAAACAAACTAAAGTGAAATAAAAAATAAATTGAAGAATTATTAGAAGAAAGAGTCTACTCAAATTAGAAGGAACCAGAAAACTAATTCTGGTAATATGAGAAAACAGGATTTGATAACACCCTCAAAAAATCACACTAGTATCCCAGCAATTAATTCAAACCAAGATGAAATCTTTGAAATATCAGATAAAGAATTCAAAAAGTTTATTATTAAGCTACTCAAGGAGATATCAGAGAAAGGTGAAAACCCATATAAAGAAATTTAAAAAGCAGTTTAGAATATATACGAAAAAATTTCTAGAAAAACAGATATCATCAAGAAAAACCAATCATATCTTCCGAAAATAAAAGACACTATTAGTGAATTACAAAATGCAGTGGAAAGTTTTAAAAATGGACTAGAATAAGTAGAAGAAAGAATTTCAGGGCTCAAAGATGAGGCTTTCAAATTAACCTAGTCAGACAAAAATAAAGAGAAAATAAGAAAAAGAAATGAACAAAGTTCTCAAAAAAAATATGGGATTGTGTAAAATGACCAAATCTAAGAATAATTGGTACTCCTGAGGGAGAAGAGAAGGTGAAAAGTTTGGAATACTTATTTGAGGGAATAATTGAGAAAAACGTCTCTGACTATACATATATATATAAAAGAAGAAGCTCAAATAACTTCTGGGAAATTCATTGCAGAAGATAATCACCAAGGCACATAGTCATCAGGTTATCTAAAGTCAACATGAAGAAAAGAATTCTAAGAGCAGTAAAACAAAAGTATCAGGTAACTTATAAAGGAAAACCTGTCAGACTATCAGCAGACTTCTCAGCAGAAACCCTACATGCCAGAGAGGATTGTGGTCCTACATTCAGCATCCTTAAGCAGAAAAATTGTTGGCCAATAATTTTGCACACAGCAAAACTAGGTTTTATAAATGAAGGAGAAATAAAGTAATTTTCAGAGAAACAAATGCTAAGGGAATTTGTCACTGCAAAACCAGAACTACAAGAAATACTAAAAAAAAGTTTCAATTATTGAAAGGAAAGCTCAATATGCAGCAAAATAGAACATCTTAATGGCATAAAATGCACAAGGGCTGTAAAACAAAAACACAACAAAAAAACCCCAAAATATTAAGGCAACAATAAACATAATAAATAGAATACTAGCTTACATCTCAATGTTAACATTGACGGTAAATGGCCTAAATGCTCCACTTAAAAGATATAGAATGGCAGAATAAATAAAAACTCAAAAACCAAATACGTGCTGTTTTCAAAAGGCTCACCAAACACAGAAGGATTCACATAAACTCAAGGTAAACGTTTGAAAAAAGATATTCCATGCAAATTGAAACCAAAAGCGAGCAGGAGTTTTGGGTTAATTTATGCAAGTGAAAATCAAAAGTGAGCAAGAGTTTTTGTTAAATTTATATCAGACAGAACAGACTTTAAAGCAACAACAATTAAAAAAAGACAAATAAGGTCATTAGATAATAATAAAAGTATAAATCCAACAAGGATATATTAAATTTAAAATTCGTAGACACCTAACACTGGAGCTACCAGATTTATAAAACAGTTGCTACTAGACCAAAGAAGTGAGATAGGCAGCAATACAATAGTGGTAAGGGACCTCAATATGCCAGTGAAAGCACTAGACAGATAATCAAGACAGAAAGTTACCAAACAATGAAATTAAACTACACTCTAGAGCAAATGAACTTAACATGTAATGACAGAACATTCTACCTAACTACTGCAAAATATATATTCTTCTCATTAGCACATGGAACATTTCTCCAAGGTAGACCATATGATTAATCACAAAATAAGTATCAATACATTAAAGAAAATCAAAACCATATCAAGTATCTTCTCAGACCACAGTGAAACAAAGTTATAAATTCACTCTTAAGGGAATCTTCAAAACTATACAAATACGTGGAAATTAAATGATCTACTCCTAAACGATTTTTGGGCTAATAATGAAATCAAGATGAAAAATTAAAAATCCTATGAAATGAATAATAATTGTGACAGAAGTTACTACAACCTCAGAGATACCAAAAAAGCAGTGCTAAGAGAAAAATTTACAGTACTGAATACGTACATCAAAAAGTCCAAAAGAGCACAAATTGACAACCGACTGTCACTAGAGAAAAAAGAGCAAGCTAAACCCAAAGCTAGCAGAAGAAAAGAAATAACAAAAATCGGAGCAGAATGAAATTAAATTAAAACAAAAAATATACAAAAGAAAAACAGAACGAAAAGTTGGGTCACTGAAAATATAAACAATATTGATAGACCATTAGCTAGATTAACCAAGAAAAGAAGAGAGAAGGTCTAAATAAGCTCAGTTAGAAATGAAATTGGAGCTATTACAACTGACACCAAAGAAATACAAAAGATTGTTTGAGACTACTATTAACACCTTTGTGTGCAGAAACTAGAAAAACTAGAGAAAATGAACAAATTATTGGAAATGTAAAACCCTCCTAGATTAAATCAGAAACAATTAAAAACCCTAAACAGACCAATAGTGAGCACCAAGGTTGAATCAATAATATAAAAAAATTGCCAACAAAATAAAGCCCAGGACCAGGTAGATTCACAGATGAATCCATCAGCTGAAGGAACCTGCCTCAAAATAATATAAACCATGTATGATAAACTCACAGCCAACATCATGCTGAATAGGGAAATGCTGAAAGTATTCCCCCTGAGAACTGGAACAAGACAAGGATGCCCACTTTCACCACTCCTATTCAACATAGTTCTGGAAGTACTAGCCAGAGCAATTACATAAAAGAAAGAGATAAAGTACATCCAAATCGGAAAAGAGGAAGTCAAACTATTACTGTTTGAAGATGATATAATTGTATACCTAGGAAATCCTAAAGACTCCTTCAAAAGACTCTTATATTTGATAAACAAATTAAGTGAAGTCTCACATTACAAAATCAATGTATGCAAATCAGTTGCACTAATAGGCACCATTCAATGAACAAATTGGGAATCAAATCAGGAACTCAATCCTAATTACAACAGCTGCAAAAAAAAGAAAAACAACTAGGAAGATGAAATATTGCTACAAAGAGAATGACAAACAAACACTGCTGAAATAAATCATAGATGACACAAAAAATGAAAACACATCTCATGCTGATGGATGGGAAGAATCAATAGTGTAAAAATGATCATACTTCTCAAAGCAATCAACTGATTGAATGCAATTTCCATTATGATACCATCATAATTTTTCACAGAATTAGTAAAAACAATCCTAAAATTTATATAGTACCCAAAAAGAGCCTGAATAGCCAAACCAATTCTAAGCAAAAATAACAAATCTGGAGGCACCACATTATTGAATTTTGGGTTACACTACAAAGCTATACTTACCAAACAGCATGCTACTGGTATAAATGTAGGCACATATAAAAATGGAACTGAATAGAGAACCCGGGAATAAAGGCAGATACGTATAGCCAACTGATCCTTGACAAAGCATACTGAAACATAAATTGGAAAAAGGACACCCTATTCAGTAAATGGTGCTGGGAAAACTGCCAAACCACATGTAGAAGAAGGAAACTGGGTTCCCATTTCTCACCTTATACAAAAATCAACTCAAGAATGATCAAAGACTTAAATCTAAAGCCTGAAAACATAAAAATTCTAGAAGATAACATTGGAAAAATCTCTTTTGGACACCAACCCAGGCACAGAATTCATGACTAAGACCCCAAAATCAAATGCCTCCAAAACAAAAATAAATAAATGGGACCTAATTAAACTAAAAAGCTTCTGCACAACAAAAGAAATAATCAGTAGAGTAAGCAAACAACCAACAGAATGGAAGAATATATTTTTAAGCCATGCATCTGGAAAGACCAGTATCCAGAAGCTATATGGAACTCAAACAAATCAGCAAGAAAAAAAATGAATAATTTCATCAAAAAGTGTGTAAAGGACATGAGTAGATATTTCTCAAAAGAAGATTTACAAATGTCCAATGAAAAAATGCTCAACATCATTAATCATTAGGGAAATGCAAATTAAAACCATAATTAGATACCACCTAAATCCTGCAAGAATGGCACTAATTAAAACATTAAAAAAACTCCCTAGATATTTCTATGGATGTAGTGAAAAGAGAATACTTATACACTGCTGGTGGGAATGTAAATTAGTACAACCTCTATGGACAACAGTATGGAGATTCCTAAGAAACTAAAACTAGATCTACCATTTGATTCAGCAAGCCAACTGCTGTGTATCTACCCCCCCAAAAAACATAAGTCATTGTATGAAAAAGACACATGCACACATGTTTATAGAAGCACAATTCACAATTGCAAAAATTATAAAACCAACTGACGTGCCGATCAACCAATGAGTGTATTTTTTTAATGCGGTATATGCAGCATGAAATACTACTCAGCCATCCATAAACATGAACAAAATTATCTTTTGCAGCAATTTGGATGGAACTGGATGCCTTTATTTTAAGTGAGGTAACTCAGGAATATAAAACAAAATACCTTATTTTCTCAGTTGTAAGGGGGAGCTAAGCTATGAGGATGCAAAGACATACAGACTGATATGATGACCTTTAGGAACTCATAAGGGAGAAGGTGGGAGGAGGCTGAGGGACAAAAAACTACATACAGCGTATAACATTAGGGTGACAGGTGCATTAAAATCTCAGAATTCAACATTATAGAATGTATCCATGCAACCAAAAACCACTTATACCCCAAAAGCTATTGAAATAAAAGATGTAAATAAATAAATAAAACAAAATAGTCAAATTTATAATATCAAAGAGTGAAGTGGTGACAGCCACTAGCTGCAGGGAGAGGGAAATAAAATATTACTAATAAATTGGCATAAAGTTTCGGTTATACAGAAATGAGTAAGCTCTTGCAATCTGCTGTACAATATTATACCTAAAGCAACAGTAATGTATTGTACAGTTAAAACTTTGTTAAGAGTGTAAATCTCATGTTAAGTGTTCTTAACACAGAAAGTGAATAAAATAAAGTTAAAATAAAATAAATAAAAGATGCTAAGTAATGCTATATAATGTTAATTAATGTGTATATATGCATACACATAATATTTTTAAGAAGATTAAAATGAACTACCAAGCACAACAAATTTATTTTATTAATTTCCTCTAAAGCAGGGATGGTGACAGTGGGATGGATGGGATTGGGCCTGGGGAAGAGAAAAAAGGACTCCAGGTTAACAATGATTTTGCTTCGTTTATATGCACCGGTGGGCATAAACTCAGAAACCAAAAAGAATTAAATGGTAACTTTTAGTTAATTATAGGTCATAGATATTTCTTTGTTTGTTACTTTAATCTCTAATTTTTTCTGTATTTCTGAACTATGTTTACAATGTGGAGTCTACTTTTGAAAATTAATGGCTTGGATTTTCTGAAGTGCAAAACATTCTACTAAAATGCTTATTAAAATTATAGGCTCTTGAAAGAGAAACTAGAAAGTTTATAGGAAGTTTATTTAAGGGAGATGTATCCTTACAAGAAAACAGAATTGTTTGTAAAGAGGGTGAGGGTGGAGAACTAAACAAGCTGGCATTGTTAGGTAAACACTAAACCTTCGAAAACTTGGGAGCATCGTAAGTCCTGCTGTCCTCAGGAGCACAATTTGCATTTTTAAAAAGTGTTCACAGTAGAGAATAGAATAAAGATACAGTGATAATTCATCTTGCTGAAGTTCAGAGTATTTTTCTTTCCTTTTCTGAAGAAGGATTCCAACTTCTATTCATTACTGTTGGACACAATACAAGACAAGTAACAGTATGATGGAAAAGTAAAGAGGATACTTCTAGAAAAACATCAAATGAAAAACATTTTTCCACTTATCAGTTGTGACTATTTCTTTTTTTATCCATGTGTACTCCCACTTGTTCCTCTAGTATCAGCCTCAATTCTTTGCCTTGGTGTCCTTCTGATCACAGGTTTTGCATTCCCTCCTTCAATATTTCCTCCTCACTCTCCGCATGTCTTCCCAAATCTCTTTTCTCTATTGCTGTTGCTATTACCTCTAATTACTCTCCTTTACACTTTTAGTATGCTTTTATTATACTTCAACTTCGGGTTCTAATCAGCATTGCCTATTTTGTTATTTTCTTCTTTATCTGGAAAAGTTGCATGCATCTTCCCCACTCCTGCACTTTCTCAAACACAAACTTAACCCATTGTTTTAAAATTTTTGTCCCTTTATTCCCTTTATTTTTTCTCCTTTTTCATTCTTTGCAGTATTTTATTTTCTTTTTAATTTTCCCTATTTTTTTTTCTTTACAGCAATCCTGAGTAAAAAATGCTTGTCAGCAGTTTATCCTTCCCACCCAATTCCAGACCACCATATCATCTTACCTGTGGTAAAATAGCTCTTTCAATCTTTCATTTGACTAAATCATCTTAGTTACTGCTTTGCGATCTGCCTCTTCTATACTAACGCAATTTCTATTTTATTGATTAAGAACCACTGGACTGTAAGTTCTATGAGGGCAAGGATATTTTTCTTTTTTGTTCACTGCTGTACCTCTAGCACCTAATGTAGTAGGTCTGGGATGGGGCCCAGGGGGCTCCATTTTTATATGCTTTTCAGGTGATTTTGATCTTTGTGGTCTATGGAACACACTTTTAGGAGTATACTAAACTTTATATGATGTGGTGTGTGTGCAGGGATGACTCCCAATGGCGTTGTGCTCTTATTTTTCTTTAGAGATCCAGAGAGTGGAAAAACCTGTGATTAGTTCTAAAATTTCTTATTCTATTGGGGTACCAATGGAGACTTTCTGTCCCCAAATTCCTCCTCTCTGAGAGCATCTCTAGTTTATATATATATATATGTATATGTATATATATATGTGTGTATATATATGTGTATATATATATGTGTATATATATACGTATACATATATATGTATATATATACGTATATATATGTATATATGTATATATATGTATATATATATGTGTATATATATATGTATATATATATATGTGTATATATATATATATATATATATACTACAGGAGAATTCTATTTCAATTAGAGCTCCGTCCCTCCCCAGAATATTCTATTGTGGGATACACTTCCGGTTGCTGGAAATAAGAAGGTCTTAAAATCAAACCAAGTGGAGATTACGTTCATTTCAGAGATAATTTCTGCCACTCTACAAATATTAGAGCATCATGATTACCCTCCATGTTCAATGCCCAAGACATATTTGAAGTTGATGTGGTTTGGATCTGTGTCCCCACCCAATTCTCATGTCAAATTGTAATTCCCAATGTTGGAGGTGGGGCCTGGTGAGACGTCATTGGATCATGGGTGTAGTCCTTCATGAATGGTTGAGCACCATCCTCTTGGTGCTGTTCTTGTGATAGTATGTGAGTGAGTTATAATGAGAACTGGTTGTTTAAAACTGTGTAGCACCTCCTTCTACATTCTCTCTTGCTCCTGCTCCCCCTTCACATTCCGCCATGATTCTAAGTTTCCTGAGGCCTCCTCAGAAGCTGAGCAGAAGCTGTTGTGCCTCCTGCATAGCCTGCAGAACCATGAGCCAATTAAACCTAATTTATAAATTACTCAGTCTCAGGTATGTCTCTATAGCAATGTGAGAATGGACTGATACAAAAGTTATATTTTGAAAAGCTAAAACAAAAATAAAAATAGGAAAAAATATATTTCAAAAATGCAAACATTATCGGCATTCTGACTTGTCCTTATTTTTTTTCACCTTCATGGACATTTAAAAAAATTTGAAATAAAGGCATAACCAAATCAATGCCATAATGCAATCTCTACTTATATAGCTTGTGGTTCATACAAAAATGTCCTTCCCGGTAATCATAGGAATTGCCTGAGTATAGTTCAATTTTTAAAGGTATTAGCATCCTTCAAATTGACATCACTTCAAAAAATAAAAATAAAAAAGATTTAAGCTAACACATTTTTCCAGTGTAATATATCTATACATTAAGGCATCAACGTAGCACTAAGGTTCCCAGGCATTACCGGAACTAGTACAGATGGACATTTCTTGTCAATAGCTCACAGAATGTCAACAAGCCCAAAACTGCTTATGGTAATAAAGACTCTGAGATTGTGGAAGGTTAATTTACTTAAGAATTGTATTACATATCAAATATCTTGTTTAAGCCTAAAATCTTAATGACTGAGTTTTAGATTTCACAAAATTTAACAAATATAATGTGAATACGTTTCCAATTATCCATTTGTTTTGTTTTGTTTTTTGCAGTTCTCTGGAGACAGATCTCCATTTATTTCCAGACTCAATGAACTGACCAGCAGATGTCATTATTGCTATTTTAAAATGTTCTTAACAAAGGAAACAGGGAGTAGCAAAACAAACTGGCCGAATATTGCTTTTTACATTAAAAAAAGGTGTTCTCCTTTTACTTATGATTTATACTGCATAGATATGAAAAAGATCTGCATCACTTACTTTTAAATACTGAACAAAGTATGCCCTTTGGAGAAAGTGTTACATGCCAATAAAATTAATAATGTGCAGTTACACACAAGTTCAGTACTTGTGATTATATCAACCATTTAGGGCTTTTTAGTTAGTGTGATAGCTTTTTTCCCCTAGATGCCATATGTATGTTTTCAAGATGATGGCATTAAACAATTAATAATTTACTTAATTGTTACATTTAGGGAGGCTGTTTTATTTTCTTTTGGCAACATTCAGCAATATGCTTATCTTTAATAAGTTCCTACAAGATGGAGATGATTATAGGAGTTAAGAGGAGAAAGATTTTGATAAATCTTCTACAAAAATAAATACCTTCACTAGTTCTGAATAATGTAAACAGTCTGGAAATAGAAGGCCTTTGCTAAGATTTACAGGGAGTTTTGAATTCTAGTTCACAATACAGATATACAAAGTGCTGATGATTTCTAACTCACTACCAAGCTTACAACACAGTCAATATTTATCATTCCATTTCTTCCTGCAAGTTAAAAAAACCCAACAAACTAAATAAAGTCACAATAATAGTCCAGACATGCTCTGTCTCTGCCTGTGCCCTGTCTCATCAACTCAGAACTTTCCGCTTCCCTTCAAGTCTCCTTCCCACAAATATTTTTGGGAATTTCCTAGAGGAGAGCCCTCATGAGTTAACGAGTAGCCCTCACAGTTGCCATCTGGAGTTTGCCATTTTTCTTCTCAAGGCAGCAGATGCTTTCATTTGCTTATTTTGATGATCTATGTCAAGGTTGAGTTTGAGAGTCAGACATTAATTAACAGTGTCTCTTGTACAGATGACATTAAAAAAAATAAACATCTAATGGGGTGTTTGTTATAAGAACCCAAAGTGGAGGTAATATTTGTGAACAAAGTCCTCTTAAATACAACAAAACACCAAGAAGGTGTCTTGCTGCTATTGCCACTAGAGAGTGTCTCCAAATCACTGATACTGATGGTGCTATAGATACATAAAGCCCCTCAGGTCATTGACGTCATGTTATGTTCTGTGGTGAAAAGGAAAAACAAAATTCTTCTCTTTCACCTTTTCTTTATTACTATGGTCCCAATTTGGCACTGTATTTTGCTCACAGATATTTGTGTGTAAGTTGTTCTTTTCATTTCTACTCAGTAATCTCTTCGTAGGCTTGGGGGACTTGACAGAAAATTATGTAAATGACATACAGCTACTCTATTTAAACTGTTCCTCTGCCTTATTTGCCAGGGCAATACTACTATTATGAAACTTCCATGACTGACTCTCCTTTGCTCCAGTAATCATACCATCATAGCTAATAATTTTAATAATGTTATTCATCAAGCACTATGTAAAATGCTTTTTATTTTAATTCCCTGAAAGTCTCTCAGAGTTAGATTTTACAGAATTGGAAACAATAACAGAAAAACTAAAGGACAAGCCAAATAACATGTGACTAGTAAGTGGCAAAGCTAGAGTTCAAAGTAGTGTCTACCTCTAGTGCCTGAGTTTATGTCACTAATCTAACAAGCCCCACAGTGGTCCTTTTAGAATGTGTCAAGCACCCAGTAATCACAGATGTAATGTGGGGGAAAGAAAGAGAGATCAGACTGTTACTTTGTCTATGTAGAAAAAGGAAGACATAAGAAACTCCATTTTGATCTGTACTAAGAAAAATTCTTTTGCCTTGAGATGCTGTTAATCTGTAACCCTAGCCCCAACCCTGTGCTCCCAGAAACATGTGCTGTATTGACTCAAGGTTTAATGGATTTAGGGCTGTGCAGAATGTGCTTTGTTAAAAATGTGTTTGCAGGCAGTATGCTTGATAAAAGTCGCCGCCATTCTCCAATCTCGAGTACCCAGGGACACAATGCACTGCGGAAGGCTGCAGGGACCTCTGCCCAAGAAGGCCTGGGTATTGTCCAAGGTTTCTCCCCACTGAGACAGCCTGAGATATGGCCTTGTGGGAAGGGAAAGACCTGACCATCCCCCAGCCCGACATCCGTAAAGGGTCTGTGCTGAGGAGGATTAGTGAAAGAGGAAGGCCTCTTTGCAGTTGAGATAAGAGGAAGGCATCTGTCTCCTGCTCGTCCCTGAGAATGGAGTGTCTCAGTGTAAAACTCGATTGAACATTCTATTTACTGGGATAGGAGAAAACTGCCTTATGGCTGGAGGTGAGACATGCTGGTGGCAATACTGCTCTTTACTGCACTGAGATGTTTGTGTAAAGTCAAACGTAAATCTGGCCTATGTGCACATTGAGGCACAGCACTTTTCCTTAAACTTATTTATGACACAGAATCATTTGCTCACATGTTTTCCTGCGGACCCTCTCCCCACCATTACCCTATAGTCCTGCCACTTCCCCCTCGCAGAGATGGTAGAGATAGTGATCAATACATACTGAGGGAACTCAGAGACTGGTGCCGGTGCGGGTCCTCCGTATGCTAAGCGCCGGTCCTCTGGGCCCACTTTTCTTCCTCTATACTTTGTCTCTGTGTCTTATTTCTTTTCTCAGTCTCTCATCTCCACCTTTCGAGAAACACCCACAGGTGTGAAGGGGCAGGCCCCCGTCATCATAAAACGTCTTTTTTTAATTTCTCTGTGTAAAGATTAATCAAAAAAATGGAGCCAACAAAAATCTTTGAGATTATCAATTCTAGCCCCACATTTTACTGAGAAAGAAATTCATACCTACACTTGGGAAGTGAGTGAATTAAATGAGAAGAAAGTCGCTTCATCTGTTTGCCTTATAATTCTGTAACAGCCCTAAGGTTATGGGTAAAACTGCCATTTCGTTTGTATATGCATTTAGGTCCAGATATAAAATCATTCTCCATCTTACCACATTATTGGTATCGTAACCCAAGAGAAAATGTGTCACATGGGAAAGCACATCTCTGAAGACAGGAGATGAGGGAGAATTTCATGACTAAGTTGCCACCATTCTCCCCTACTTGCAGTCTGGTTGCAGTAATGAGGCTACAGGGTTTAGTTCCAGGAAGACATCCTTCAACATCAGGGACAGATATGTTAACGTGAAGGGATTTAACACTATTACCTGAAACAGAGCACTTCACTCATACATTTTAGAGAAATGTTTCTTGAACTGGTCTACTATATCATGTTAGCCACTCAATTATGCCTGGCCAATACTTAATGTACTAGGGAATAAAAACTACCACAAAGTGGACAACTTTCTGTTCATATCCAAAGATGTTTTCTAGGTTTTTCCAGTTCTACTGGCCCTCTGCATCCACTGAAGGAAGATGAAAACTTAACATTTACCATATGCCAATTATGGGGTCAAGTACAGTGCATATATTATTTCACTCAATACCCAGAACAGCCCAATCTAATAGGTACCATTATTATCTCCATTTTATAGATGAGGTTACAGATGAGAATTTAAATAAATTTCTCAAGTTGTTAGTAAGTGTTGGAGCTGAGTTGAATCAAAGCTTTTCTCAGTCCAAATTATCATATCCTCTACCATGTTTCCTCTGTTGGGGGAGATCTTAAAAATGTCTAAACTAGAAATTAATAGGGACCAAAAAGAAGAAAAACATCACCAGGTAAATCTCATTTCCTTACTATGTAGCCTCTGAAGTCAACTCCATAATCAAGTTGCTGATTAGTGACATATGGTTGCATTTTAAAACAAAGTACAATAATTTAACACTGAGGATGCTTTTCTTGTTTACTTCTTTTCTCACAAGACTTGCATTTTCTGATCACAACTATGAAATAAGTTACAACCTAATTTTAATTAAGCCATTTCTCTGAATTAAAAATATCAAAGTCATAACAGAGTTTATTGTTGCTTTTTCTACATTTAAGAATTGCTTTATTGACAATACATGGAGGTTATGTATGCCTAGAGCTTCAAATGAAGGTTTATTTGTCTTTCTGCTAATCATGAATCAAGCTGTTTGCGTCAATTTTAAATCACTTTGGAGTCAGTCTACTGTATACTTTATAGGTGAAAAATCTTTATTCCTGATAGCCTCTGTAGCAACCTCCTTCCAAAAAAATATGCACTTAATAACCTACTAGTCTCTAGGGTGAGTAGTTTTCAATGTTTGTGAGAGTGAGCAATTAATTACTTTTAGTTTACTAACAGAGATGACATGGTTTAGATTTGTGCCCATGACCAACTCTCATGTTGAATTGTAATCCCCAATGTTGGAGGAGGGGCCTGGTGGGAGGTGATTTGATCATGGGGGCAGATTTCCCCCTTGATATTCTCATGATAGTGAGTTATCATGAAATCTTGTTATTTAAAAGTGTGTAACACCTTTCCATTCTCTCTTTTCCTCTTGCTCTAGCCATGTAAGATGTGCCTGCTTCCACTTCCACCATAATTGAAAGTTTTCTGAGGCCTCCCCAGCCAAGCTTCCTGTACAGCCTGCAGAACCATGAGCCAATTAAACCTCTTTTATTTATAAATTACCCAGTTTCACGTATTTCTTTATAGTAGTGCCAGAAGGAACTAATACAGAAAATTGGTACCAGATATGGGGCATTACTATAAAGATACCTAAAAATGTGGAAGTAACTTTGAAGTTGGGTAACTGGCAGAGGCTGGAAGAGTGTGGAGGGCTCAGAAGAAGACAGAAAGATGTGGCAAAGTTTGAAACTTCCTGGAGACTTCTTAAAACTGTTGTGGCCAAAATGCTGACAGTGATATGGACAATGAAATCCAGGCTGAGAAGGTCTCAGATGGGGATGAGGAACTTATTGGCAACTGGAGCAAAGGTCACTTTTCCTACGCATTAGCAAAGAGGTTAGAGGCATTGTGACCCTGTCCTAGAAATCTATGAAAATTTGAACTTGAATGTGATTATTTAGGATATCTGGTGGAAGAAATTTCTAGAAAGAAAAGCAGTCAAAATGTGGCCTGTCTGCTTCTAGCAGCCTATTCTCACATTCATGAGCAAACAAATAATGTAAAACTGAAACTTCTAAAAATAAGGGAAGTAGAACATAAAAGTCAGGAAAATTTGTAGCCTTGCCATGCAGCAGAAAAGAAAAACCTATTTTCAAGGGAGGAATTCAAGACTGCTTTAGAAAATTGACATAAATATTAGGTTGGTGCAAAAGTAATTGCGGTTTTTCCCATTACTTTCAATGGCAAATGCTGCAATTACTTGTGCACCAACCTATAAAAGGACAGCAAGTACTAATAGCCAAGACAGTGAAAAAAGGTTCTGAAGGCATTTTAGAGACCTTCACAGTAGTCCCTCCTATTATACACCTGGAGGCCTAGGAAAAAAGAAGAGTTTTATGGGCCAGGCCCATGGCCCCACTGCCCTGCACAGGCTCAGGACACTGCCTCCTGCATGCAACTGCTCCAGCCCCAGCCATGGCTCAAAATGTCCCAGGTACTCAGGCTGCTGCTTCAGAGGGCAAAAGCTATACACCCTGGTGGTTTCCAGGTGGTGTTAAGCCTGCGGGTGCACAGAGTACAAGAGTTGAGGTATGGGAGGCTCTGCCTAAATTTCAGAAAATCTAGGTGAAAGCCTGGATGTCAAAGCAGAAGTCTGCTGCTGAGGTCAAGCCCTCATGGACAACCTCTACTAGGGCAGTGTGGAAGGGAAATGTGGGGTTGTAGCTCCCACACAGAGTCCACATTGGGGCAATGCCTGGTGGAGCTGTAAGAAGAAAGTCATTATCCTCCAGGCTACGGAATGGTAGAGTCACTGTCAGCTTGCACTGTGTGCCTGGAAAAGCTACATGCACTCAACACAAGCCCTTGAGATCAGCTGTGGAAGCTAAGTCCTGCAGAGCCACAGTAACAGAGATGCCCAAGGCCTTGGAAATCCAGCTTTGCATCAGGGTGGCCTGGATATGAGACATGGAGTCAATAGATTATTTTGGAGCTTTAAGATTTAATGACTATCCTGCTGGGTTTTGGTCTTGCATGGGGCATGTAGCCCCTTTCTTTTGGCCAAATTCTCCCTTTTGGAACAGGAGTATTTACTCAATGCCTGTACTCTCATTGTATCATGGAAATAATTAGCTTATTTTACAAGCTCATAGGGGGAAGAAACTTGCCTGCCTCAGATGAGACTTTGGACTGTGGATTTTTGAGTTTATGCTGAAATGAATTAAGACTTGGGGAAGTATTGAAAATGAATGATTGTATTTTGTAATGGGAGAAGGACATGAGATTTAGGAGGAGCCAGGGTTGGAATGATATGGTTTCCATTTGTATTCCCACCCAAATGTCATGTTGAATTGTAATCCCCAATGTTAGAGGATGGGCTTGGTAGGAGTTGATTGGATCATGAGGGTGTATTTCCTTCTTGCTGTTATTTTGACAGTGAGTTCTTATGAGATCTGGTTGCTTAAAAGGATGCAGCACCTCCCACTTCTCTCTCTTTCTCCTGCTCTGGGCAGGTAAGACATGCCTGCTTCTGCTTCTGTCATATTTGAAAGTTTCCTGAGGCCTCCCCAGCCATGCTTTCTTTATGGCCTCCAGAACTGTGATTCAATTAACTCTTTTCTTTATACAATACCCAGTTTACAGTATTTCTTTGTACCAGTGCAAGAACTAATACAAGAGACTTAAGTAAAAAGCCAATATGAGCTTATATAATATTTGTGTTATTCTTTCAAATATTTCAAATAAACACAAATAACTTTGGACACAATACTTATGGTACTTTAAACACTAAATGTCTATAGTTTTTTTTTCAAATAAGATCTTATCTACCATTCATCGGTAGTTCATAACATACAAGCACAGAAACGTTGAAAATTTAGGGTGACCTGAGGAGACAAAAAAATCTAAGAAGGTAAGCATGAGTCCCAAGAACTTCTGCTTAAAATAGTTTATGGGAATTACAGAAATATTAGACTATCCTTATTTGTGAAAAAATATACTAAGAAAACTTGTGATCAAAGTAGAACTTTGCATTTTATTTTTTGGGTAATCAAATCAGAGAGGCATAATGTTTAAGCAACAGACAAAGGAACACAATACTCATTTCACTTTATTCTCTAATAATGTTTTATAGTACCTCACATGTCAATATTAACGTAGAATGTAAGTGTCCTAAATGCTTTACTTGAGGATACAGAATGGCAGAATGGATAAAAAAACTACCAATCAGATATATGTTGTCTTCAAGAGACTCACGTAACACATAAGTACTCATATGAACTGAAGGTATAGGAGCTAAAAAAGATATTGCAAACAAATTCAAACCAAAAGGGAGCAGGAGTAGCTATTCTTATATCAGACAAAACAGACTTTAAGGCAGCAAAAGTAAAAAAAAGACAAGGGAGGGCATTGTATAATAATAAAAGGATTAGTCCAACAAGAAGAAATTACAATTCTGAATTCATAGGCACCTAACACTGCAACTCTCAAATTTATAAAACAATTACTGGATATGGAATATGGAGTCAAAGGAGATGATTTTGGGGCTTAGAAATGAGATAGAGGGCAACACAATAATAGTGGGTGACCAATACTCCATTGACAGCACTAGACAGATCTTCAAGACAGAAAGTCAGCAAAGCGAAAATGGACTTAAACTAAACCTTAGAACAAATGGACTTAACAGATATTTACAGAACATTCTTCCCCCAAACTGCAGAATACACATTCTTCTCAGCAGAACATTGAATGTTGCCCAAATAGACCATATGATAGACCATAAAACAAGTCTCAATAAATTTAAGAAAATAAAAATCCTATCAACTACTTTCTCAGACCATAGTGGAATAAAATTGGAAATCAACTCCAAAAGGAACCCTCAAAATTATACAAATACATGGAAATTAAATAATCTGCTCTATACTGACTTTGGGGTTAACAATGAAATCAAGATAGAAATTGAAAACTTCTTTGAATTAAACTATAATAGTGACAAAACTTATCAAAACTACTGGGATACAACCATAGTGGCACTAAGATGAATGTTCATAGCATTAAATGGCTGCATCAAAAAGACAGAAATAGCAAAAATAGACAACCTAATGTCACACCTCAAAGCCCTAGAGAAAAAAGAACAAACTAAACCCAAACCCAGGAGAGGAAAACAAATAACAAAGATCAGAGCAGAACTAAATGGAATTGAAACAAAAAACACAATACAAAAGTTAAATGAAACAAAAAGCTAGTTCTTGGAAATGATAAACAAAATTGATAGACCATTATCCAGATTAACCAAGAAAATAAGAGAGAAGTTCCAGATAAGCTCAATTACAAATGAAATGGAGGATATTACACCCATTACCACAGAAATACACAAAATTATTCAAGGCTACTATGAACACCTTTATGCTAACAAACTAGAAATCTAGACGAGATGAATAAATTCCTGGAAATGTACAATTCTCCTTGTTAAATCGGGAAGCAATATAAATCCTAAACAGCAATAACCAGCAGTGAGATTAAATCAGTAATAAAACAATTTCAAACATAAAAGAAAAGCCCAGAAATAGATTCACAGCTGAATTCTTCAGACATTCAGAGAAAAATTTATGTTATTCCTACTGAAAATATTCTAAAAGATTGAGAAAAAGAAAATTCTCTCTAAATCATTCTATGAAGCCAGTATCACCCTAATACCAGGGAAGAAGATAACAAAGAAAGAAAACTACAGACCAATATTCTTGATGAACATAGATGCAAAAATCCTTAACAAAATACGAGCTAACCAAATGCAACAGCATACATAACATAAAGAAAATACATCATGATTAAATGAGTTTCATACCAGATATGCAGGGATGGTTTAACATATGCAAGTCAATAAATGTGATACATCACGTAAATATAATTAAAAAGCATATGATCATCTCAATAGATGCAGAAAATTCATTTGACAAAATCCAGCATCCTTTTATGATAAAAATACTAAACAAAATCGTCAAAAAACAGACTTACTGCAAAGTAATAAAAGTCATATGTGACAAACCCACAGCCAACATCATACTGAATAGGAAAAAGTTGAAACATTTCCCCTGGATCTGGAACAATACAAGGATGCCCACTTTTAGCACTTCTACTCAACACAGTACTGGACTTTTTGGTCAGAGGAATCAGACAGGCAAAAAAAGAAAAAAAAAAAAAATGGGCATTCAAATTGAAAAAAAAGGAAGTCAAACTGTCACTGTTCACCAATGATACGATTGTATACCTAGAAAACCCTAAAGACTCATCCAAAACACTCCTAGAACTGATAGATGAATTCAGCAAAGTTTCAGGATACAAAATCAATGTACACAAATTAATGGCATTGCTATACACCAACAATGACCAAACTGAGAATCAAATAAATAACTCAGTCACTTTTACAACAGCTTCAAAAAATATATTTAGGAATATTTCACCAAGGAGATGAAAGATCTCTACAAGAAAATCTTCAAAACACTGCTGGCAGAAATCATAGTTGACACAAATGGAAACACATGCCATGCTCATGGATGGGTAGAATCAATATTGTGAAAATGACCATACTGTCCAACGCAATCTATAGATTCAATGCAATTCCTATCAAAATACCATCAGCATTCTTTACAGAAATAGAAAAAAATTAAAAATTCATACAGAACCAAAAAAGAGCCTGCATTGCCAAAGCAACACTAAGCAAAAAGAACAAATCTTCAGGCATGACATTACCTGACTTCAAATTATACTACAATGCTATATTTACAAAACAGCATGATATTGGTATAAAAATAGGCACATAGACCAATGGAACAGAATAGAGAACCCAGAAATAAAGCAAAATACTTACCGCCAACTGACCTTTGACAAGGCATACAAAAACGTAAATTAGGGGAAGGACACCCTATTCAATAAATAATGCTGGGAAAACTGGCAAGCCACATGTAGAAGAATAAAACTGGATTCTCATCTCTCACCTTATACAAAAATCAATACAAGGTGGATCCAATAATTAAATTTAGTACCTGATACCTTAAATATTCTAGAAGATAACATTGGAAAAACTCTTCTTGGCATTGGCTTAGGCAAAGATTCATGGCTAAGACCCCAAAAGCAAATGCAACAAAAACAAAGATAGATAAATGGGACCTAAGTAAACTAAAATGCGTCTGCACAGTTAAATTAATAATTAGCAGAGTAAACAGTCATCTCATAGAGTGAAAAAAAATTCACAAACTATGCATCCAACAAAAGACTAATATCCAGAATCTACAAGGAACTCAAGCAACCAGCAAGGAGAAAACAAATAATCCTATCAAAAAGTGGATAGAGGACATGAAGAGACAATTCTCCAAAGAAAATATACAAACAGCAGACAAACACATGAAAAAATGCTCAACATCACGAATTATCAGGGAAATGCAAAATAAAACCACAATGAAATAGCCCCTTACTCCTGCAAGAATGGCCCTAATTAAAAAGTAAAAACATAATATACATTGTCATGAAAGTGGTGAAAACGTAACACTTGTACACTGCTGGTGGGAATGTAAATTGGTACAACCACTACTGAAAATAGTATGAAGATTTAGTTCTTTAAAACGTAAAGTAAAACTACCATTTGATTCAGCAATCCTACTACTAGGTACCTACCCAAAGGAAAATAAGTCATTATGTAAAAAAGACACATGCACACAGTGTTTATAGCATCACAATTCACAAATGCAAAGATATAAAATCAACCTGAGTGCTCATCATTCAATGAGTGGATAAAGAAAATGTGGTATATATACATCATGGAATACTACTCAGCCATAAAAAGGAATAAAATAATGTCTTTTGCAGCAACTTCACTGGAGCTGGAGGCCATTATTCTAAGTGAAGTAACTCAGAAATGAAAATTCAAATATCGTATGTTCTCACTTTTAAGTGGGAGCTAAGCTATGAGAATGGAAATGTATAAGAATAATATTATGAACTTTGGTGACTCGAGGGGGAAGGGTTGGAGTGCAGTGAGGGATAAAAGACTACATATTGGGTACAGTGTACACTGCTCGAGTGACAGGTGCACCAACATTTCAGAAATCACCACTAAATAATTTATCCATGTAACAAAAACCATCTGTACCTCAAAAACTATTGAAATAAAAATCTAAAAAATGTAAAAAAAAAGTTTCAAATTCAACCTCAGTCTTGTAATGCACTTATGCTGCCTAAAATTAGAAACCATCTGTAGTAGAAAACCATTAATAAGACTGTCTGATTTATTCATTAGTATTTTGGGCATTTGAATATTTACATAATAATCAGTTTCACTTTAATGTAGAAAATGAATAAACAACCAATAGAAAGCAACATGAGGTGCATTAAAACAAACAGCCCAGAGAAAATAACCCCAAGATGCACTGAATAGTAATTACCCTTGGTAAGAAAAGTCTATTTATTAGATACAAATAATTTTTACACTAGCCAATGCATAGATTTCATCTACTGAATGATACTTAAATTTCTTATGAGACTCTCTGAAAGAGAAAAAGAGGACACTTTTATTCCTATTGTTATCAAGCAGTATTGTGTAGTGATTACTCATTCAAACTCTACAGTCAGAACTTGCTAGCCATGACCTTGGAAAATGTAATCTCTTAACCTTCCATTTTTACACGTGTAAAATGTACTATTAAATGTGATATTATTTGTAAAGTGTTTAGCACAGTGCTTGAAAAGTAATAAAAGCTCAATTAATATTTCTGTAATAATTATTTTTGATATAGCAATTACAATCAATGGATACCTATTTTAGCTCCATGTATTAAGAGAGACATGTAAGAAAAAATATTTATCACTCTTAGAGGCCAATGGAATATAAGAACTTAAAATATGCTCTCCCATAAAGTAAGGAGTTTACTCACTACTCACGAAGATAATTCCCTCATCCTGAAATAGGTGACTACTAAGGGGTATAGAGAGATTCCCAGAAGTAGGGCAAAATTATCCACCAAAGACTGTACATCATATACCTATGGCTGTAATGCTCTTCTTTCGGGTAACTTTGCATCTGCTTTTCAGACTTGGAAATTACTAATTCCTTTCATTGTTCTAAGCAAAATAATTCATTTTCAAATAGAAACACTACTAAAATGAAACACTGTGGTAATAGTTTAGTTAAATTATAAAAACTGACAGTCATCAGATATAGCAAATATGGTTAATTTTTAAATTAGAAAAGTTAAACCCCTGGCCCTATCAATTGATGCTACAGTTGATATACGATTAATAAAAAAGTAATACAACGTTCTTTCAAAACTGGTATTTCTCAATAATATTTATTCTTTAATATTAACAAATTATCTTCAAGGATGATTTTATAAGCAGAAGTCATCTAAAATATGTTTTTGCTACCAAAGTAGCAAGTAACTTATTTGTTAGTGTTACTTTATCTCTAGATTCAATGAAAAAATGTCCTATGAGAGTGAACTTTGTTATGCTGGTGTAACATATAGGCTATGAAAAAGAACATTACTCTGTCCCATCTTTTACTTCAAGATTAAACTAATCAGAAAAAAAGCCACGTGAGGAGCATGAGGTGGGGTGATACAGGAGATAGGAATAAATTACTTAGGTAGATGGGGTGAAAGAGTCCTCAGCAAAAACTTTCCTCCTAACTAAAAGCAGCTCAAAAATTTCTTCCTTTCTAACCACATGCAGTTCAAAGAAATCACTTCTCTTCTAATAAAGAGCAGTCTGGAAGATCAGTCGGTAAAGCATAAATAAGCAACTCTGGCACAGAGGGAGGGTTTCCTAGGTAATCACCAAACTTCACATGCATACGATGGGCCCCAGTAAAAACAGTGGGCATTAATGAGCACATTCCTTTTCCATTTTGGGGCACACTAAGATAGGGACGTTGGAAGCTTGCACGGGGCTGGGGAGGGGGATGCCTGAAGCTGCATGGAGGTACCTGGAATCTGGCACAGAAACTTCTCCTTCCCTTTTTTGCACATGCACGGTGGAAGGAGATAAACAGTGTGGAGTAGCCCAAGCTAAGAGCCCACCTGTATAATAGAGAAGTCAGGTGGGGGCTGCCAGAGATTCTGCTCTATGCAAATGGCACACCTGGTCCTAACTGGTTTTCTGCGCCCTATGTAAATGAGATATCTACTCCCTACTAGCTCATTTATAAAAACCCTCACATTTCACTGCAGCATGGCAACCAATTTGGAACCCCTCTCTGTGACAGAGAGCTGTTCTTTTCCTTTCTCCTGTTAACCTTCTACTCTAACCTTGCCCTTTATGTGTCTATATCCTTAATTTCCGTGGCCATGAGGCAAAGAACCTCAGGTAATATTCCAGACAATGCAGCTGCTTCAGGGGTCAAGGTTAGAAGAGAAAATAACTATAGTATTCATTAATATTTATTGTGTAAAGTGCTTTCTACAATAAAAAATGATGAGCTCCAAAGGCATACTAAATGTATTACAAAGTAAATAACTAATTTAGAAAATTTATTTGTCTGGAAAAAAATTTTAAGGATTTTCTCATGCACTATTGTAGATCAGAGATAAAAGAGACAGGGATATTCATTCATTCATGTATTTATTCATCAAATATTTATTGAGGATCTACCTGTATCCAGTACTGTTTTAGGTACTGAGGATATAGCAATACACAAAATATAAAAAATCCTACCTTTATAAATCTTACATTGTAATGAAGGAAGATATAAAATAATAAAATACATAGATAAAACATAAAATGTCACAGGGTGATAGAGACTGTGGGGAAAATTAAAAAGCAAAATGGTATTAGGAGTACTGGAGAGAGGGATTTGCGATTTTAAATAGGGTTACTTTAAGGGAACATTTCACTAAGAAAGTGGAATTTCACCAAAGAGCTGAAGGCAATGAGGACACAAACCTCACAGATGTATGAAGGAAGAACATTCCAGGCAGATGAGTAACACTGTCAAAGGTGCTGAGGCAGAAGCATGCTTTCTGTGTGTGAAAAACAGAAAGTGGCTTGTGCTGTGAAATCAAGAGAGAGCTTTGATAAGAGTGGTAATGTTATTTGATGCTTCTTTTAACAAGTTCATTGCCTGCTTGTTTGCAAATAGACTGTAAGAAGGCAAGTGAAAACACAGAGACCAGTTAAGAGACTGTTGTAGTAATCTAGGTGAGAGATAGTAGTGGCTTGTACTAGGGTGTTAGCAGTAGAGTTGGTGAAAAATAATGAGTTTCTGGATGCATTTTTAGGCAAAGCCAAAACATTTTTCTAATTGTTTGAATGAAGGTTATGAGCAAAAGAGGACTTATAAATGAGGAACTGAAACAATAGCCTTCTTAATTAAATGTGAATAACTTCGTAAAAGACAGGATTAAGGAAAAAGATCAGATAATCAGTTTTTGACCTGTTAAGTTGGAAATTGCTATTAAACATCCATGTGGGGTAGGCAGCTGGATATATTGGTCTGGAGTTTGGGAGAGAAGTGTGGGCTGGAAAAATAAATTTTGAAGTTTTCAGCATGTGGATGATACTTAAAGCCATTAACATTGATAAAATCTTCAGGGAAGTGAGAAGAGATAGAAAAGAAAAGACCTAGAAGAACTAAATATTGTAGACTCTCAGTTTGCAGATGTATGGAAAACGAGGAAAAACTAATTGCAAACTGAAAAGAAGCAACCAATGAGGTAGGAGGAGAGAAACCAGGAGAGAAGTGTCCTTGAAGTCAAATAAACTGCTTCAATGTGTAGGGAGTTATATGCTGGGTCACCTGCTGCTTAATTCATCAAGAAGAAGCCTTGAGCACTGGATTTTGAAATGCGGAGGTCATTGATGATTTTTTACAAATTTTTTTTTTGTATAATGGTGAGGACAAAATCTAAATAGAGTATCTTTAAGGAATAATGGGAAGACAGGATTTAGAGAGATCAGACTCCTCTTTTTAGGTATTATATTGTAAAAGGGATCAGAGGTACTTGAGGAAATTTTAAAAATTTTATTTTAGTATGAGAGAAATTAAAAAATCAATATTAAATAGAGGTGGGCGTGCAGAACAAGAGATAGGAAGAGAGAAAAAGGAGAAAAGAAAGATAGGAGTGAAATGAGGATTGAGGGAGAAATGATAACACTATTACAGAAAATAGTATCTTATCTCATTGTTAATGGTGAACCATATACCCTACCCTGTTAGCAAAATGAAATTTTTTTTCTATTATACCAAGAAAATCCCATGCTTTTTTCTCCATGACTTTAACCTCATTTTGTATGTTATCTCTCAACGAAAATACCTGCACTTTTCTGTGCTCACATAAAAGAATTCCTGTCCTTTAAGTTCTGTTTTAAATTCCACTTCACTGAAGCCTTCCCTGACCACTCCAGCCATCCATAGATCATCTGTAATTTTTAACAGCATAATTTAGCTTTTAATCACATACTCTATAGTATCATTCAACTTTGACATATTTATCAAAGTCTATTCAGCTAGAATATAAGATTCTTAGTGGCAAAGACCATATTATACTTCTGTGTCTACTCATAAACTGTAGATTTTTTAAATACCTTAGTATATAGTGTCACAAATATCTAGGCAGATATATTTTAAATTACTGCTACTAATATTTTACTGTCATATTTGGGGCATGGGAATTTTACACAACTGAGGGAAAAAATGTTACAAATGACTCTACCTGGTTAGTAGTTGTGAAATCCCATGCCACAGGTCACTGGTACTAGAGAATATTATAGAAAGAACAGTAAGCTAGGAGTTATTAGTCATGGATTATAATATTACTATAATATTAACTAGTACCTTTGTGAAAAACATTGCCTCTCCCTTTCTAAAATTAGTAGTATTCACTAAATGGTCTCTAAGAGAATTTTAACTGTAATATTTTATTTTTAATTATAGTTCTATCTGCACAAATTGTTCCATTACCCAAAATTAATAATCATTTTTAAATAGAAAAAAACTCAATATATTGGTAACTGTATTTTTTCTCACTCATATGTATTATTGAGAGATTTCCCTCATAGCCCATATCAGATGAGGCCTATACACAAGTGATCTGATGACCTCAAATAATAAAATTAAGTACTAGAGCACTGGAAAGAATGGACAATAGGATTGACTTGGCAATGGAGACTCTTTTTTAGTTTCATATGAACTTTAAAGTAGTTTTTTTCCAATTCTGTGAAGGAAGTCATTGGTAGCTTGATGGGGATGGCATTGAATCTATAAATTACCTTGGGCAGTATGGCTATTTTCACAATATTGATTCTTTCTACCCATGAGCATGGAATGTTCTTCCATTTGTTTGTATCCTCTTTTATTTCATTGAGCAGTGGTTTGTAGTTCTCCTTGAAGATGTCCTTCACGTCCCTTGTAAGTTGGATTCCTAGGTATTTTATTCTCTTTGAAGCAATTGTGAATGGGAGTTCACTCATGATTTGGCTCTCTGTTTGTCTGTTATTGGTGTATAAGAATGCTTGTGATTTTTGCACATTGATTTTGTATCCTGAGACTTTGCTGAAGTTGCCTATCAGCTTAAGGAGATTTTGGGCTGAGACGATGCGGTTTTCTAGCTATACAATTATGTCATCTGCAAACAGGGACAATTTGACTTCCACTTTTCCTAATTGAATACCCTCTATTTCTTTCTCCTGCCTGACTGCCCTGGCCAGAACTTCCAACACTAGGTCGAATAGGAGTGGTGAGAGAGGGCATCCCTGTCTTGTGCCAGTTTTCAAAGGGAATGCTTCCAGTTTTTGTCCATTCAGTATGATATTGGGTGTAGGTTTGTCATAGATAGCTCTTATTATTTTGAGATACATTCCGTCAATACCTAATTTACTGAGAGTTTTTAGCATGAAGGTTGTTGAATTTTGTCAAAGGCCTTTTCTGCATCTATTGAGATAATCATATGGTTTTTGTCATTGGTTCTATTTATATGCTGTATTATGTTTATTGATTTGTGTATGTTGAACCAGCCTTGCATCCCAGGGTTGAAGCCCACTTGATCATGGTGGATAAGCTTTTTGATGTGCTGCTAGATTCGGTTTGCCAGTATTTTACTGACTTCAAACTATACTACGAGGCTACAGTAACCAAAACAGCATGGTAGTGGTACCAAAACAGAGATATAGACCAATGGGACAGAACAGAGCCCTCAGAAATAATGCCACATATCTACAACTATCTGATCTTTGACAAACCTGACAAAATCAAGCAATGGGGAAAATGATTCCCTATTTAATAAATGGTGCTGGGAAAACTGGCTAGCCATATGGAGAAAGCTGAAACTGGATCCCTTCCTTACACCTTATACAAAATTAATTCAAGATGGATTAAAGACTTAAATGTTAGACATAAAACCATAAAAACCCTAGAAGAAAACGTAGGCAATACCATTCAGGACATAGGCATGGGCAAGGACTTCATGTCTAAAACACCAAAAGCAATGGCAACAAAAGCCAAAATTGACAAATGGGATCTAATTAAACTAAAGACCTTCTGCACAGCAAAAGAAACTACCATCAGAGTGAACAGACAACCTACAGAATGGGAGAAAATTTTTGCAATCTACTCATCTGACAAAGGGCTAATATCCAGAATCTACAATGAACCCCAACAAATTTATGAGAAAAAAACAACCCCATCAAAAAGTGGGCAAAGGATATGAACAGACATTTCTCAAAAGAAGACATGTATGCAGCCAAAAGACACATGAAAAAATGCTCATCATTACTGGCCATCAGAGAAATGCAAATCAAAACCACAATGAGATACCATCTCACACCAGTTAGAATGGCAATCATTAAAAAGTCAGGAAACAACAGGTGCTGGAGAGGATGTGGAGAAATAGGAACACTTTTACACTGTTGGTGGGACTGTAAACTAGTTCAACCATTGTGGAAGTCAGTGTGGTGATTCCTCAGGGATCTAGATCTAGAAATACCATTTGACCCAGCCATCCCATTACTGGGTATATACTCAAAGGATTATAAATCATGCTGCTATAAAGACACATGCACATGTATGTTTATTGTGGCACTATTCACCATAGCAAAGACTTGGAACCAACCCAAATGTCCAACAATGATAGACTAGATTAAGAAAATGTGGCACATATACACCATGGAATACTATGCAGCCATAAAAATGATGAGTTCATGTCTTTTGTAGGGACATGGATGAAGCTGGAAACCATCATTCTCAGCAAACTATCGCAAGCACAAAAAACCAAACACCACATGTTCTCACTCATAGGTGGGAATTGAACAATGAGAACACATGGACACAGGAAGGGGAACATCACATATTGGGGCCTGTTGTGGGGTGTGGGGAGGGGGGAGGGATAGCATTAGTAGATATACCTAATGTTAAATGACGAGTTAATGGGTGCAGCACACTAACATGGCACATGTATACACATGTAACTAACCTGCACGTTGTGCATATGTACCCTAAAACTTAAAGTATAATAAAAAAAGAATATAAAAAAAAGAATGAACAGTAGTGACACATGTCTAGAATTTTTTGAAAATTAAATGGTGTAGCATTTAGAATAGCCTATGTATTATACCAAATAAATCCCCAAATCATAATGGCTAAAACACAATGTAAGCTTATTTCTCACTCATATCCGATGGGTTTTCCTGGTAATCAGGCATATCCCCTGTATGTGTTGATTCAAGGATCAATGTTCCTTCCATCTTTTAGCTCTATCCATTCCCTAAATGTAAAGTACTGTGATGAGTCTGAGCTTATTTATTCCCCTTTTATTTTAGTTTCAGAGGTACATGTGCAGGTTTGTTATATATGTAAACTCACGTCATGGGGGCTTGGTATTCAGATTATTTCATCACCCAGATAATAAGCATAGTACCTTATAAGTATGTTTTTCTGATCCTCTCCATCCTCCCACCCAGGTCTGAAATTTTACCTGACTTGCAAGCTAACAAGTTAGCCTACTACAGTTTCATGAATGTTGGCAGAAGATGCAAGACTCTTGGGTCAGAAAAAATGTAGTCATAGCAGTAACCAAAGTACCAGCATTTTTGCACTGATTTCCTGAGCACCATATTTCACAAGGTGGCACAAAGAAGGGCAGTTGATGCCTGCACATACAGTGAGTTGAGTTGCAGGAAAGAAAGCCTGAGATTAGGAAAATATTTTATAGTAAGTGTTAGCTTGCCTAATTTTACTAAGGAGAGAGATACAATCTTTGTTGTACTGGATAGTGAGCACGTCTGCTCTCAACTCTGTGGGAGGAATCTATATGGTCCAAGCTTGTTAAGTATACAGATATCCTTGAAAAGATGGTTCGGAACAAACGCCAAACAGTGCTCATTCACAAGACATGCAGAATATCAGACTCATGGAGAATTGTCTCCCCCTTCCAAGGCCTCATTGTTGTCTGCATCAGTTAGAAAATGGAAAAAGAGCGTAGAAAAGGAATACCCACTTAAAGGCCTTGGCCCAATAGACCACTTCCATTTACATTCAATTGGTGAAAATTAATTACAGGACAGAACTTGTTGTAAGGGAGTCTGGTAAATATTAGCTTGCTATGTCATCCTCCTAAAGAAAAATTGGCTTCCTAGAAAATAATAGATTTTGGTGATCGGGTACTAGTATCTGCCAATATAGAATTATATCTAAACTCATAAAACATTTACAACGTGCAATGTATTATTTCATGAAGTTATCATAACAATTATATGTGGTTGATGCTGTCATATCCTCATTTGTCAAATGAAAGAAAAATGAGGCTCAGAGAGGATAAGGAACTCACTAAAGGCACATATATAGGAAATAGATTATTATCAAAATTTGTCTGATTCCAGACTCCAGCATTTTCCATTAAGTTTTCTATAGAATAACTATCTTGTCAAAGAACTCCATAGATCATCAAAAATAGCACACAAGATAACAAGGTAAATATCACTGTGTTGATTAATTTTATGTATCAACTTGGCTATGTGAGAGCATCCAGTTTTCTGGTCAAATACAGGCATACCTTAGAGATATTCTTGGTTAAGTTCTGTACCAATGCAATAAAGTGAATCTCCCAATAAAGAGAGTCACATGAATAATTTGATTTCCCAGTGCATATAAAAGTTTTGTTTACACCTGTTTACACCTATAGGCTATTAAATGTATAGTAGTGCTATGTCTATAAAACAATATACATACCTTAATTTAAGAGTACTTTACTGCTAAAATAATAATCATCTAAGATTCTGCAAGTCATAACCTCTTTATTGATTGAGGGTCTTTCCTCAATGTTGATGGCTGCTGACTAATCAGAGTGGTGGTTGCTAAAGGCTGGCGTGCCTATAGTAATTTTTTAAAATAAGATGAAAATGAAGTTTTCTGCTTTGATTCACTCTTTCTTTCATGAAATATTTCTCTGTAGCATGAGATGTTGTTTGACACTATTGTCTCCATGGTAGAACTTTCCAAATTGAATTCAATCCTCTCAAACCCTGCTGCTGCTTTATCATCTAAGTTGATGTAATATACCAAATTCTTTGTTGCTATTTCAACAATGTTCATAGCACCTTCACCAGAAGTAGACTCCATCTCAAAAACCATTTCCTTCCCTCATCCATACAAGAAGAAATTCCTCATTTGTTCAAGTTTTATTATGAAATAAAGCAATTCAGTCACATCTTAAGGCTCAATTTCTAATTCTAGTTCTCCTGCTACTTCCACCACATCTTAATGTCTTCCTCTACTAAAGTCTTGATTCCCTAAAAGTCATCCATGAGGATGAGAATCAACTTCTTCCAAACTCCTATTAATGTTGATATTTTCACATCCTCTCATGAATCACAGATATTCTTAATGGCATGTAGAATAATGAATCCTTTCAAGAAGGTTTTTAATTTACTTTGTCCAGATCCATCAAAGAAATGACTATGTATGGCAGCTATAGGCTTACGAAATATATTTCTTAAGCAATGAGACTTTAAAGTCAAAATTCTCATTATTCCTTGGGCTGCTGAATGGATGTTGTGTTAGCAAGCATAAAAATAATATTAATCTTTTACATCTCCTAAGGAACCATGTGCATTGTCAAAGAGCATTAATGTTTTGAAAACAAATGCTTTTTCTGAGCAGTAGGTCACAAAAGCAAACTTAAAATATTAAGTAAAACAGGCTGTAAACAGATGTGTTGCCATCTAAGCTTTGTTGTTCCATTTATAGAGCATAGGCAGTGTAGAGTTAGCATAATTCTTAAGGACCCCAGGATTCTTGGAATGGTAAGTGAGCATTGGCTTCATCTTCAAGTCATCAGCTATTATACATTAGCGCCTAATGAGAGAGTTAACTTATCCTTTGAAGCTTTAAACCCAGGCATTGACTTCTCCTCTCTTGCTATAGAAGTTATAAATAACATATTTTTCCAATATAAGGCTGTTTCATCTACATTGAAAATCTGTTGTTGGCCAGGAGCGGTGGTCCACGCCTGTAATCCCAGCACTTCAGGAGGCTGAGGCAGGTGGATCACGAGGTGAAGAGATCCAGATCATCCTGGCCAACATGGTGAAACCCTGTCTCTACTAAAAATACAAAAATTAGCTGGGCGTGGTGGCGTGTGCCTGTAATTCCAGCTACTCGGGAGGCTGAGGCAGGAGAATTGCTTGAACCTGGGAGGCGGAGCTTGCAGTAAGTCAAGATCACGCTACTGCACTCCAGCCTGGCAACAGAGCCAGACTCCGTTTCAAAAAAATAAAATAAAATAAAATAAAAAAATAATGAAAAGAAAATCTGTTGTTTAGTATAGCCATCTTCATCAATTATCTCAGCTAGAGAGATCTTCTGGATTACTTGCTGCAGTTTCTACAACTGTGCTTGCTACTTCACCTTGCACTTTGATGTTATGAAGGTGGCTTATTTCCTTAGACCTCATGAACCAACCTTTGCTAGATTCAAATTTATCTTTTGTAGCTTTTACACCTTTGTTAGCCTTCATAGAATTGAAAAGAGGTAGGGCCCTGCTCTGGACTAGGCTTTGGTTTAAGGGAATGTTATGGCTGCATTGATCTTTGATCTAGACTACTAAAACTTCCTCCATATCAGGAATAAGGCTGTTTGGCTTTTTTATTATTCATGTGTTCACTGAAGTAGCACTTTTAATTTCCTTCAATAAATTTTCCTTTGCATTAAAACTTGGCTGATTGGTGCAAAATGCCTGGATTGAGCCTATCTCAGCTTTTGACACTTCTTCCTCAGTAACTTAGTCATTCTAGCCTTGAATTTAATGTGAAATACGTGTGACTCGTTCTTTTACTTGAGCACGTGAAGGCCATTGTAGGGTTATTAATTTGCCTAATTTTAGTTTTTTGAGGAACCTCCAAACTGTTTTCCAGTTGTACTAATTTACACTCCCACCAACAAGGTACAAGGGTTCCCTTTTCCCTACATCCTCCCAGCATATTGTTATTGCCTTTGTAGTTTTTAATGTGCATTTCACTGATTATCAGTTATGCTGAACATCTTTTTATATACCTGTTTGACATTCGTATGTCTTCTTTTGGGGATTTTTTTAATTTCAATTTTTATTTCAATAGCTTTTGGGGAACAAGGGTTTTTGTTGTTGTTGTTGTTGTTCCATGGACAAATTATATAGTGGTGAACTCTGAGATTTTAGTGCACCAATCGCTCAAGCAGTGTACATTGTACCTAATGTGTATTATTTTTATCCCTAGCCGCTCTCCCAACCTCCCCTTTCTGAGTCTCTAAAGGCCATTATATCACTCTCTATGCCTTTGTGTACTCATAGCTTAGCTCTCACTTATAAGTGAGAACATATGGTACTTGGTATTCTATTCCTGAGTTACTTCACTTAGAAAAATTGTCTCCAGCTTCATCCAAGTTTGCAAAATACTTTATTTCATTTTTTATGGCTGAGTATTATTCCATGGTATATATATATATACCACATTTTCTTTATCTACTCATTAGTCAATGGGCAGTTAGGCTGGTTCCATATCTTTGGAATTGTGAATTGTGCTACTATAAATATACGTGTGCAGGTGTATTTTTGAAATAATAGTCTTTTCCTTTAGGTAGATACCCTTTAGTGGGATTGCTGTATCAAATGGTAGATCCAGTGTTGGCTCTTTAGAGAATATCTCTACTGTTCTCCATAGAGGTTTTACTAATTTACATTCCCACCAGCAGCCTTTAAGCATTCCATTTTCCCCGTATCCTCAAAAACATCTATTGTTTTTTCACTTTTGAATGATGGCCATTCCTGCAGGAGTAAGGTGGTAACTCATTGTGGATTTAATTTGCATTTCACTGATGATTAGTGATGTTGAGCATTTTTTCATATGTTTGTTAGCTATTTGTATATCTTCTTTTGAGAAACATCTATTTATTTTCTTGTTACTTTGTTTGAGTTCCTAGTAGATCCTGGATACTAGCCCTTTGTCAGATGCATAGTTTGCAAATATTTTCTCCATCCTGCGGGTTGTCTGTTTACTCTGCTGATTAATTCTTTTGCTGTGCAGAATCTTTTCAATTTGATATTCTGATGGGAATGCCATTGAATATGTTGATTGCTTTGAACAGTATGGTCATTTTCACAATATTGAGTCTTCCCATCCATGAGCATGGGTTTCCATTTGTTTGTGTCATCTATGATTTCTTTCAGCACTATTGCGTAGTTCTCCTTGTAGAGAGATTTCACCTCACTGATTAAGTAATTCCTAAATATTTTATTTATTTGCAGATGTTGTAAAAGGCATTGAGTTCTTGATTTGATTCTCAGCTTGGCCATTGTTGGTGTATAGCAGTGCAACTGATTTATGTACATTGATTTTGTAACACAAAACTTTACTAAATTCACTTATCAAATACAAGAGTCTTTTGGAGGAGTCTAGGATTTTCTAGGAATACAATCATATTATCTTAAAAAAGTGAGAGTTTGACTTCCTCTTTTCCAATTTGGATGGTCTTTATTTCTTTCTCTTGCCTAATTGCTCTGGCTAGTATGTCCAGAACTATGTTGTACAAGAGTGGTGAAAGTGGACATCCTTGTCTTGTTCCAGTTATCAGGGGGAATGCTTTAAACATTTCCCCATTCAGTATGATGTTGGCTGTGGGTCTGCCATACATGATTTTTACTGTTTTGACGCAGGTTCCTTCTATGCTTAGTTTGTAGAGCGTTTTTATTATACACAGATGCTAGATTTTGTCAAATGCTTTTGCTGCATCTATTGAGATGATCACATAGTTTTGTTTTAAATTTTTATGTAATGTGTTATATTCATTGACTTGCATATGCTAAAACTTTCCTGTATCCTGGGATGCAGCCCACTTGTTCATGATAAATTATCTTTTTGATGTGCTGTTGGATTTGGTTAGCTAGTATTTTGTGGAAGATTTTTGCATCTATGTTCATCAGGAAAATTGGTCTGTAGTTTTCTTTTCTTGTTGAGTCCTATACTGGTTTTGGTATCAGGGTGAGACTAGCTTCATAGAATGATTTAGGGTGGATGCTTTCTTTTCTCAATCTGTTGGAATAGTGTCAGTAGGATTGGGGCCAGTCCTTCTTTGAATATCTGGTAGAACTCATCTGTGAATCAATTTGGTCCTGGGCTTTTTCTTTGTTTGCAATTTTTAAGTTACTGATTCAATTCTGCTGCTTGTTATTGGCCTGTTCAAGGTTTCTATTTCTTCCTTATGTAATGTAGGATGCTTGTATGTTTACAGGAATTTGTCCATTTACTCTAGGTATTCAAGTTTGTGTGCATAAAAGTGTTTATTGTAGTCTGAAACCACCTTTTCTATTTTTGTGGTGTAGGATGTAATGTCTCCAGTTTCATTTCTAATTGAGCTTATTGAGATCTTCTCTCTTCTTTTCTTGAATAATCTAGATCATGGTCTATTAATTTTATTTGTTTTTTCAAGAAACTAGCTTTTGGTTTCATTGATCTCTCATTTTTTTTTTTTTGCTTGTTTTAATTTCATTTAGTTCTGCTCTTATCCTTATTTTTTTTTCTTTTACTAGCTTTTGGTTTAGTTTGTTCTTGTTTTTCCATTTCCTTGAAGATTGACATTAGCTTGTCAATTTGTGCTCTTTCAGACTTTTTGATGTAGGCATTAGTGCTATAAACTTTTCTCATACCACTACTTTTGCTGTATCTTGGAAGTTTTGATAACTTGTTATACTATTATCATTCAATTCAAAGAATTTTAAAATTTCCATCTTGATTTTATTGTTAACCCAGAAATCATTCAGGATCAGATTTATTTAATTTTCATGTATTTGTATAGTTTTGAGGGATCCCTTTAGAGTTATTTCTAGTTTTATTCCACTGTGGTCTGAGAAAATACTTAATGTGATTTTGGTTTTTTAAATTTATTGAGAATTGTTTTGTGGCCTATCATATAGTCTATCTTGAAGAATATGCCATATGCATATGGCACGACCTTGGCTCACTGCAACCTCCATCTCCTGGGTTCAAACAATTCTCCTGCCTCAGCCTCCTGAGTAGCTGGGATTATAGGTGCCCACCACCACGCCCAGCTAATTTTTGTATTTTTAGTAGAGTTGGGGTTTCACCATGTTGGTCAGGCTGGTCACGAACTCCTGACCTCTATCTATTGTTGCCATGTTTATGTCATCAGTATCCAATATTTAGCTCCCACTTATAAGTGAGAACATGCTATATTTTGTTTTCTGTTTCTGTGTTAATTTGCTTGAGATAATGGCCTTTAGCTGCATCCATGTTGATGCAAAGGACATGATTTTAGGTTTCTTTTGTGGCTGCATAATATTCAGTGGTGTATATGCACAATATTTTGTTTATTCAATCCACCATTGATGGGCACCTAGGTTGATTCCATGTCTTTGCTATTGTGACGATTTGGTAGAATGATTTATTTTCTTTTGGATATATGTATCCAGTAATTGGATTGCTGAGTCAAATGGTAATTCTATTTGAAGTTCTTTGAAAAATCTTCAAACTGCCTTCTACAGTGGCTGACCTAATTTACATTCCCACCAACACCTTATAGGCATTCCCTTTTCTCTGTAGCCTCAGTAGGATCTCTCGTTTTCTGACTTTTTAATGATAGCCATTCTGAATAGTGTTAGCTGGTATCTCATTTTAATTTTGATTTGCGTTTCTCTGATGATTAGCTATTTTGGACATTTTTTTCTTATTTGTTGGCTGCTTGTATCTTTTCAGAAGTGTCTGTTCATGTCTTTTGCCAACTTTTTAATGCAGTTATTTGATTTCTGGACTGTTGAATTATTTAAGTTCTTTATAGATTTAGCGGAACAGAATCTTAATGAGTTTGATGACTTTGTTTTGTGGCTTCTGGAATTGGTTCTCTATGCTTATTTGATTTAAAACACTAATGACTATATTTCCAAATTTAGAGATTATTAATATTCCATGATATGATGTGGCAATAGAGATATACAAAATATCACTAAAGGATACTCCTGATGAAATACTTAAAAGAGGCAAAGTTATGGTTGGCCATGTATTTAATTACCATAGAACTTTTCTGTCATAATGAGTATAATGAAATTGTCTGCTCCTAATTTTGCTTGATAGAGAGGTTAAAAAAAGATAAGCTTATGTATTAAAATTCCCATTTTGCATGCTACATAAGTGGCCTAGACATTTCTATCTCTGAGCTGAAAGAAACCCTTTTTTTCCACAGCCATAAAGCCAAAATTGTTTGAAATAAACACAGAGTTTCATTCAGTGAGTGACTCAATTACACAAATTAAAATGAGGGCATTGATTGGGAAGGAATGGAATCCTGAAAAATGGGAGGCAGACATATGGTAAGATGCTTGTGAACCTAGCAATATTGAACTACTAAATTCTAATGAGTCTTCTTTGGAGAGGAAACAGCTATTCTACACCCTTGGAAGTGATTAACCCTGTTTACCCTGAGGAAACTATAATGGTCTCCCAGAGGTAGTTACTGAGCAAGACACTAATTGTCCTCATGGCCACCCCTAACCCTTTGTACTTCTATACTTATAACTAGACTGAAGTCTCAGCAAACCACTGAAGATGATGTACAAAGTGTGACCCATGAAGATGTGAGCTAAGTTGCAAAATAACTAAAATATTTTTCCAATTTATTCAGACAGAAATCCTTTGAATATATATGAGAATGGGTATTAAGGGTGTGGGATAAGAACTGTGCATTCACCCTGTGAGAATACACCTTTTACCATGACTGTGAGAAATAAATTTGTGGCAGAAGGCCCAACATCCTTTAAGAACTCTGCGGTTGCTCTTCTATATAAGGCACACATTACAGTGGGAACTGCTGCCACTTAATTGGGTAACCTAAATTCCATAAGAATAATTGGATTCTGGGATGGCAAGGGCCAAGTGGCAGTGCTCAAATACTAAAGGCAAGGTTGGCATGGATTTTGAAGGCAACATATTTCTCACTTGGGTGCACTACTTTATTCCTTTATCATATGACTCAAAAAGCTTCTAGTTTTCAAGGGGACCCAGAACAAGTGAAGTCTCTGCAAGAAGTACAGGCCATTGTTCAAGCTGTTCTGCCACTAGGGCCACTTGAGACAGTATACTCAATGGTGTTTGAAGTGTCGGTTGCAGATAGAGATGCCTTTTGGACTTTTGGTAGGCACCTAAACATAAAGCGCAGATCTTTAAAATTTTGAAAAATATCTATGGCATCTTCTGCAGAAAATTACTCTTCTTTTGATAAACTGCTCTTTGACTTGCTACTGGGCCTGAATAGGGACCGAATGCTTAACCATAGGCTAACAAGTGATCATGGAACCTGAGCTGTCTGTCATGAACTCGGTGTTGTCTGACCCGCTAAACCATAAATTTTTAAAAGCACAATATTCCATCATAAAATGAAAGTGACATATAAAAATTGGTCTGAAGCAGGATGTGAGGGCACAAGTAACTTACGTGAAGAAATGACCCAAATTCCCGTGGTCACCATTCTTGTTACATTATTTTCTGTCTCCCAGCTAGCTCCTATGGCTGTATAAGTTCTCTTCAATTAGTTTTCAGAGGAAGAGGACACTCAGGCCTGGTTTACTGGTGCTTCTTGCGTGATATTCAGATGCAACTGAAAATGGACAGTTGTAGCATTACCTCTCCTTTCTAGATCATCCCTGAAAGACTATGGTGGAGGAATATCTACCCAAAAGGTATAGTTTTGAGCAGTGCACCTGGTTGTTCACTTCTCTTGAAAGGAGAAATGGCCAGACATGTGACTGCATACCAATTCATAAGTTGTGGTCTTATGGTTTGTGTAGATGGTCAGGGACTTCCAAGGAACATAAATGGAAATTTGCGTACAAGGAGATATGGAGAATAGGTATGTGGACAGATTTCTTTGCATGGCTGATAAACTAGGATATGTTTGTCCCACGTATATGCTCACCAAATAGTTACCTCAGCAGAAGGTTTTAATAATCAACGAGGATATGTTTGTCCCACGTATATGCTCACCAAATAGTTACCTCAGCAGATTTTAATAATCAAATGGATATAATTACTTGTTCTATGAATATTATTCTTTCTCTCTTCCCAGCCACCCATCTCAATGTCCAATGAACTTATGAAACAATAACCCATTGTGGCAGGAATCGGAGGTTATTCACAGGTCAGCAAGATGGAATTCCACTCGCTAAAGCTAGCCTTGCTACAACCACTTTTGAATTCGCAATATGCTAGCAGCAAGGACAAATGCTGAGTCCTGAATATGGCATCATTTTCTCAAGTGATCAGATAGCCACATGCTGGAAAGTTGACTAAATTGGTCTGCTTCTATCATTAAAAGTGCAGCATATTTTTCTTAATAAAAAAGACAGTTACTCTGGATATGAATTTGTCTTCTCTGTACTCAATGTTTCTTCCAAAACTACTGTTCACCACCATACATCTATCATCATAATATTCTAGACTATTGTTTCTAATCAAGAATTGTGCCACATGAAATGAAGTATGGTGATGAGCTTACACTCAAGGACTTCACTGGTTACATCATCTTAAAGCATCTGGTTGGATAAAACAGTGGAATGGCCTTTTGAAAATTTAGTTGCATTGCAGGCTATGTACTAGCACCTTGTAGGGCTGGGGGAAGATTGTACAGGACGCTGTATATGTTATAAATAAGCATCAAATATATGGCACTGTTTCTCCCACAGGCAGAATTAATTGGTCCAGGAATCAAGGGGTGAAAGTGAAAGTTGTGCTACTCACTATTACCCTTAATAATCCATTAGGATTTTTTCTTTCCCCTGTCTCTGAAACCTCATACTCTGCTAACCTAGAAATCTTTGGTCCAAAGGGACAAACGCTTCCAGAAGGAGACACAACAATGAACTGAAAGTTAAGACTTCTCTGCATTCACTTTGGGCCCCTCAATGTTCTGAATCAAAAGACAATGAAGGCAGTTGCAATACTGGCTGGCTTGATTGAGCCTGATTACTAAGGGGAAATTAGACTGTTACTTCACAGTTAAGGTAAGAAAGAGTATGCTTTGAATATAGGGGATCCTTTAGGGCATTTCTTAGTATTACATCAATCTCTGATCTAATCTCTATTATTTCCTTCTGGCAGCTTTAGATTTATTTTTTTCTAGTTTCTTAAAGTATAAAGTTAGGTTGTTAATTAGAGATCTTTCTTCTTTTTAAATGTACACTTGTATAGCTATAGCCTTCACTTTTAGCACTACATTTGCTGCATTCTAAAAATGTACATATGCTGTGTGTTTTTTTTTTTTTCATTTGTCCCAAAGTATTTTCTAGTTTGCCTTGTGACTTCTTCTTGATCCATTGGTTAAGAGTGTGTTGTTTAATTTCCACATATTTGGTGATTTTTCAGTTTTCTTTTTGCTACTGATGTCCAGTCTTCCTCTATTGTGATCAGAAAAGATACTTTGTATAATTTCAATCTTTTCCTTTTTTTGAGACTTGTTTTGTGGCCTACTGTGTGGTTTGTCTTGGAAAATGTTCCATGTACAGTTGAGAATAATGTGTATTTTGCTGTTGTTGGGTGGAGTTTTCCGTATATGTTTTTCAGGTCCAACGGGTCTATGGTGGTGTTCACGTGCTCTCTTTCTTTATCAGTCTTCTGTCTGGTAGTTCTGTGCATTATTGAAAACGGTGAATCAATGTTTCCTAGTATTATTGGGATACTGTTATTTCTATGTTCAATTCTGTGAAAATATCATTTATGTATTTAGGAGCTCTACCATCTGATGAATATATATATATATATATATATATAGCTGTTATATCTTCTTGGTGAAGATTTTATTTTTATATAATGTCCTTTGTCTCCTGTATAAGTTTTTGACTTGAAGAGTACTTTGGTATTAACCTAGCCACCCTTGTATTAAGTTGCATGGAATATTTTTTCATCATTTTACTTTTAATGATGTATATGTATTCTTAAATCTAAAGTAAATTTATGGTAGACATCATATAGTTGAATAAAGTTTTGTTATCCATTCAGCTAATCTATTTCTCCAATTAGAGAGTTTAATCAATTTACATTTAAAGTAGTTACTCATAGGGAAGGACTTACTATTGCCATTTTGTTGATTGTTTTCTACATGTCTTGTGGCTTTTTGTTCTTCAATTTTTCTCTTAATGTCTTTTTGTGTTTTGTGGACTTTTTTTAGAGTAGCATGTTTTGATTCCCTTCACACATTTTCTTTTATGTGTGTTCTATAGATACTTCCTTTATGGTTGCTATTGCAATATATCACATATCTTAAGGTTATAGCATTCTGTTTCAAGCTGATAACTATTTTAATAACATGCAAAAATTCTACACCTATACATAATCCCCACTTTATAGTATTGCTGTTATAAATTATTTATATGTATATTGGTTTTTTTCTCTAGGAACCCTGACTAATACAACCACTCTTAGTCGCACACAAATATCAAATATCTCTTCTATGTGAGGTATAGTTGGTAATCTGGCTATATTTCTATTTTATGGATGACAGCACTAAGACACAGGCAGGTTATGTACTTGGCAGATGCAGAGACGTCTGCTTCACTCTTTCTTTTTAAAAAAACTGCTTGCTTAGTTGCAGGGAGCATAGTAGCTGACAGCTTCCAGATAATTGTTTTTTTTTCTGGTTCTTCCACAGCTGTCAAGCTAAGATTACACTCTTCTCTGGGCTAATATGGCAAGTGACTTAACAATGAAGTAGTAGGCAAGGTTAAAATCTGTTTGGGGAAGCTCCAAGGCAAGATGATGGCCCATTGTATCTTTCCAACAGAATTTATCTATAATGCAGTCTTTGATACAGATCTCTCTGTTGGGCAACCAGAGACTTTGTAAGGTCTACATCCTGATCTGATGGCTCCCATTGCTCTGTTCTGTTTCTTCTCTTTTTTTTCTTTTGACAGGTATTACTCTCTAATCAACCATTTGCACCCCTAACTCTGGCTCAGCATTTTACTTCTGGAGAACCCAGCTAACACAGGTACCCACCCAGTTGTACACAATTATTGGCAGTTGATTGAAGAGTACAGATTAACAATAATATCACCATGCTTATGTATTGCTATATTTTAAAATAATATTGTATGTTGTCTCTAGTGAAGAGGGAAAGCATTCATTTTCATTAATTTGGCAAATATATATTGAACACTTATGCATGCTTGAGTAGAGCTTGTCATCTAATGTTCTTGGTACAGCTGAGTTCACGGTGGCCCAGAAAAGTGACTCATACACATCAGAGCTGGAAAGACACTTCAGGTATTCTAATTCTTAGCTACAGTATACTTTTTACTTTAGTATATTGCCTCAGTGTTTATGTTTGATATACCACTGCTGCTTGCATTACTTGTTTTTGGCCTTCAAGTGTTCCCCAGACAAAAAGCTACACTGCCTTTTTTACTACAGTTATAGATTATTGCCCAACCCCACAAACTTTTTTAAAAATATTAATGTTTAGAACCAAAGAAGAAAATCCTGTGACTTTTTACATGGGAAATGACATAAATCTACTGAAGCTTTTTAGTTACACCAGTTGCTTTACAGAGCAATTCTAAGTTTTCACAATTATTATGAATAGCAGTGCCTTTTACTGCAGTGATTGCTATTCAACTGTTTTTAATAGAGTTTTAAGACCTTTCTAGAAGCAGCCTTTTGTCCCCTAAGATTTGAGAGTTCTTTAGAATGTTCATTAATTCAATTAGTTCTTTTTGACACTGATTCTACATTATTAAGGTAAGGAGTAACAAAAGGTTTGGGATGCCCCTATTTTGTGGCCATGTTATTTTGACTGAGGCTTCAGTGACCTTACTCTCTTCTCTCCTTGTATATGTAATGTAGAGTGATTTTTCTATACATGTAAAGCTAAATTGTTCTAAAGAAAAATGTAAATGACTGATTTGCTTTTTCTGGCAGAATTTAAAGTTTTATTGCCAATATTTAGGATAATTTAGACTACAGTAAACGACGACACAGGGAAATCAATCCATTTTACTAAATAAATGCAGATTAGGTATAAAGTATATAACTGTTGTTTGATAGGTAGCTAGGCAATTAGACAATTAGAGCTGAATGGCATTTTATCACTGAAAAAAAAAAAACTAGAGTACAGTATACAAGGATGATCAGTAAAACCAAAACAAATTTATATTATGCTCTTTGGGTGGCTTCATATGAGATGGTAGCTTTATATTCAATCAATACAAATAGATACCATTTATAAAATGCAAACTGATACACATTTATCATTTCATATTCCCAAAAATCAGATTTTAGCTTGCTATTGTTGATATAATTTTGGTGTAGAAAAATTTTTTTAAATTATGAATTGTCTTTGCAACCCTAAGAGAAATATACATTATTAATTAACATAAATTTAAATTTGTTTGAGTAAAAATGTAAGTGTTCATTAAAAAAATTTATAGATTATCTGCTATGTACCAAACACTCTTATAAGATAAATGCATTTGTGTGAGCAACTTTCATCAGCCTTTCTTTAAATTACAAAAACAATATTATTTTACTGACTTGCAAAATAAAATGTCTTAATTGCTATTGATAGCATCAAACAATATGTATTTATAGCACAAATATTCTATACTATAGTAGTTATAGACAAATATTAAATATGGTTTTGAAATGCATGAGGTTTAGAATATATTTGGAGAACAAAATAATTTCATATCCCAACCAGGGCATGTTGGAAGGCTGGTCATAACTAGGTTTTTGATTGTCTAGCAAAGTTTACTTTAAGCCTTGATAGTTTAGTGATTTTGGGGGACAAAACGGAAAAGCATAGCTTTAATTATGACAGTTGCAATAGATATTTCTTAGATGAGTAAGTAAATGTAAGAGTACTTAGATCATTAATATTTACATTTGTATATGACTTTAATATACCTTTCTTCATCTGTTTTCTGCTGCCATAACAGAACACCAGGCTGAGTAATTAATAATAATCAGAAACTTACTTGGCTAACAGTACTAGAGACCTGGAAGTCCAAGAGCATGTCACTAGCATTGGTGAGGGACTTCATGTTGCATTATCCCGTGGCAAAGGTGGAAAGGCAAGCAACTGGATAAGACAGAAAGAATGATGGTCTAACTTTATCCTTAAATCAAGAGACCATTACACTGATAACTGCATAAACCATTCATGAGGGCAGACCCCCTATGACTTAATCACCCCTTAAAGATCCCACCTCTTAAAAGCAACACAAGGCCAAGTAAATTTCAATATAAGTTTGAGAGTCACTGTTCAAATGATACCATTCTGATCCTAGCTACTCAAAACTCATACACAAAACACATTCATTTCATCCCAGTAGCTCCCAAATCTTAATTCAGTCCATTACCAACTCAAAGGTTGAAAGTATATAAAGTCTCATTTATTATTATTATTATTATACTTTAAGTTTTAGGGTACATGTGCACAATGTGCAGGTTAGTTACATATGTATACATGTGCCATGCTGGTATGCTGCACCCATTAACTCGTCATTTAGCTTTAGGTATTTCTCCTAATGTTATGCCTCCCCCCTCCCCCCACCCCACAACAGTCCCCAGAGTGTGATGTTCCCCTTCCTGTGTCCATGTGTTCTCACTGTTCAATTCCCACCTATGAGTGAGAATATGCGGTGTTTGGTTTTTTGTCCTTGCGATAGTTTACTGAGAATGATGATTTCCAATTTCATCCATGTCCCTACAAAGGACATGAACTCATCCTTTTTTATGGCTGCATAGTATTTCATGGTGTATATGTGCCACATTTTCTTAATCCAGTCTATCGTTGTTGGACATTTGGCTTTGTTCCAAGTCTTTGCTATTGTGAATAATGCTGCAATAAACATACGTGTGCATGTGTCTTTATAGCAGCATGATTTATAGTCCTTTAGGTATATACCCAGTAATGGGATGGCTGGGTCAAATGGTATTTCTAGATCTAGATCCCTGAGGAATCACCATATTTACTTCCACAAGGGTTGAACTAGTTTACAGTCCCACCAACAGTGTAAAAGTGTTCCTATTTCTCCTCATCCTCTCCAGCACCTGTTGTTTCCTGACTTTTCAATGATTGCCATTCTAACTGGTGTGAGATGGTATCTCATTGTGGTTTTGATTTGCATTTCTCTGATGGCCAGTGATGGTGAGCATTTTTTCATGTGTTTTTTGGCTGCATAAATGTCTTCTTTTGAGAAGTGTCTGTTCATGTCCTTCGCCCACTTTTTGATAGGGTTGTTTGTTTTTTTCTTCTAAATTTGTTTGAGTTCATTGTAGATTCTGGATATTAGCCCTTTGTCAGATGAGTAGGTTGCGAAAATTTTCTCCCATTTTGTAGGTTGTCTGTTCACTCTGATGGTAGTTTCTTTTGCTGTGCAGAAGCTCTTTAGTTTAATTAGATCCCATTTGTCAATTTTGGCTTTGGTTGCCATTGCTTTTGGTGTTTTAGACATGAAGTCCTTGCCCATGCCTATGTCCTGAATGGTAATGCCTAGGTTTTCTTCTAGGGTTTTTATGGTTTTAGGTCTAATATGTAAGTCTTTAATCCATCTTGAATTAATTTTCGTATAAGGTGTAAGGAAGGGGATCCAGTTTCAGCTTTCTACATATGGCTAGCCAGTTTTCCCAGCACCATTTACTAAATAGGCAATCCTTTCCCCATTGCTTGATTTTGTCAGGTTTGTCAAAGATCAGATAGTTGTAGATATGCGGTGTTATTTCTGAGGGCTCTTTTCTGTTCCATTGGTCTATATCTCTGTTTTGGTACCAGTACCATGCTGTTTTGGTTACTGTAGCCTTGTAGTACAGTTTGAAGTCAGGTAGCGTGATGCCTCCAGCTTTGTTCTTTTGGCTTAGGATTGACTTGGTGATGTGGGCTCTTTTTTGGTTCCATATGAACTTTAAAGTAGTTTTTTCCAATTCTGTGAAGAAAGTCATTTAAATCAGATATCGGGCCAGGCATGGTGGCTCATGCCTGCAATCTCAGCAATTTTGGAGGCCATGGTGGGAGGATTACTCGAGCTCAGAAGTTTGAGACCAGTCTGAGCAACACAGGGAGATCTCATCTGTACAAAATTATTAAAAAAATTAGCCAGACATGGTACACATCTGTGGTCTCAGCTACTTGGGAGGCTGAGGTAGGAGAATCACTTGAGCCCAGGAGTTCAAGAATTCAGTGAGCTGTGATAGCACCACTTCACTCCAGCCTGGGCCACAGAGTAAAATCTGGTCTCAAAAAATTAAATAAATAAGCCAGAATGAGTGAGACTAAGTCATGATTCATTCTGAGAAAAATTCCCTACATCTATAAGCTTGTGAAATCAAAATAAGTTATCTACTTTCAAAATATAATGGTGGGACATGCATAGAATAGACATTCACATCCCATAATAGAGAAATAGGCAAGAAAAGACAGACAACTTGTCCCAAATAAGTCCCAAACCCAACAGGACAAACAACATTAAGTTTTAAAGTTAGAGAAAAATCCCATTTGAATTCACATCTCACATCCTGGAAACACTGTTGTAGTGTTTAACCTCCAAGGCCTCAGGAAACCTCTCCCCTGTGATGAAACTGGTCTCAGCCTGTGCAGCCGTTCTTACAGGTTGGAGTTGCAAGCTGGTGGCCCTGCAGTTGTTTGGTCTCTGAGGTGGTCTCACTCCCATCATTCCACTAGGCATTGCCCTAGTGTGGACTCTCCGTGGCAGCTCCAACCTCGCTTTTTTGCTTAGCATTTCCCCAGTAGGCCCTCTATGTGGTGGCTCCATTCTACGGTAATTTTCTTCCTGGGTCCACAGGTCATCTGTGGGCCTTAAAATCAAGGTGGAAGAAGCCCCCTTAACTCTTGCATTCTCCATTCCTGCAAAATTAGTTTCATATGGACATTGCCAAAGCTTACTGCTTGTACATTCTGAAGCAGAGGGTTGAGCTGAACCTGAGCCCACTGGAATAATCACTGAAGCAGCCAAGGAGTTCTTTGCTGGAATGCAAGGGCTAGAGACCCAAGTTAGCTCTGGGCAGTGAGACCATGGAAGACCTGTCCTTGGAATCCATCCTGCCCTCCTAGAGCTCTGAGCATGTGATGAGAGGGGCAGCCTGGAAGATCTCTGAAATTCCTTTGGATTCTTTCTCCCATTGTTCTAATAAAGAGACTTTGGTTTTGTACTATTCAAAGCAATCTCCTTATCAAATGGTTAATTAGCCAGACCTTTAGTTTGCGCTCCTAAACAGGCCTTTTTACATTTCACATGGCCAATCAGAAAATTTTCAAAGTCTTTTCATTCTGCTTTTCTTTTAATTATAAATTTAATATTTAAGTCATTTTTTTCTCTTGCATCCCACTCTATGTAGTTAAAATTAGCCACAGAGCAGGCTGAATGTTTTGCTGCTTAGATATTTTTTTCCACCAGATATCCTATTTTATCACTCTTAAGTTGTGCATTTCATAAACTCTTGGGACGTGGACACAATTCTTCCAAGTTCTTTGAAAATGTGTAACAAATATAGACTTTACTCCAGTTTCCGATATGAGGTTCTTTATTTGCATCTGAAACCTCATCAGAAAGGCCTTTACTGTCCATATTTCTACTCATATTCTGGTTACAACCAAGCAAATAATCACTGAGAAGATTCAGACTTTCCCTACAGCTCTCCTCTTCTGAGTCCTCTCCAAAATTGTCCTTCTTTCCCCATTCACTGCAATACAGGCTTTTACTAGCCTGCTCTTCTAAATTTTTCCAGCCTCTGCCCATTACCTGGTTCCAAAACTGCTTCCATGTTTGCAGGTATTTCTTATAGCAACAGCCCCACTTTTTGATACCAATTTTCTGCCTTCTTCCATTTTCTAATGCTATAACTGAATACCACAGAATAGGTAATTTACTTATGTTTTTAAAATATACTTTAAGTTCTGGGATACATTTGCAGAACGTGCAGGTTTTTTACATAGTTATATATGTGCCAAGGTGATTTGCTGTACCTATCAACCAGCCATTTACATTAGGTATTTCTCCTAATGCTATCCCTTCCCTAGCCCCGAAACGCATGACAAGGCCCAGTGTAGGATGTTCCCCTCCCTGTGTCCATGTGTTCTCATTGTTCAACTCCCACTTATGAGTGAGAACATGTGGTGTTTGTTTTTCTGTTCTTGTGTTAGTTTGCTGAGCATGATGGTTTTCAGTTTCATCCATGTCCCTGCAAAGGACATGAACTCATCCTTTTTTATGGCTGCATAGTATTCCATGATGCATATGTGCCACATTTTCTTTATTCAGTCTATCATTGATGGGCATTTGGGTTGGTTCCAAGTCTTCGCTATTGTGAACAGTGCTGCAATAAACATACATGTGCATATGTCTTTATAGTAGAATGATTTATAATCCTTTGGGTATATATTCAGTAATGGGATTGCTGGATCAAATGGTATTTCTGGTTCTAGATCCTTGAGGAATCGCCACACTGTCTTCCACAATGGTTGAACTAATTTACGCTCCCACCAACAGTGTAAAAACGTTCCTATTTCTTCATATCCTCTCCAGCATCTGTTGTTTCTTGACTTTTTAATGATTGCTATTCTAACTGGTGTGAGATGGTATCTCATTGTGGTTTTGATTTGCATTTCTCTAATGACCAGTGATGATGAGCTTTTTTTCATGTTTGTTGACCACATAAAGGTCTTCTTTTGAGAAGTGTCTGTTCATATCCTTCGTCCACTTTCTGATGAGGTTGTTTGTTTTGTTCTTATAAATGTGTTTAAGTTCTTTGTAGATTCTGGATATTAGCCCTTTGTCAGATGGAGAGATTGCAAAAATTTTTCTCCCATTCTGTAGGTTGTCTTTTCACTCTGATGAGAGTTTCTTTTGCTGTGCAGAAGCTCTTTAGTTTAATTAGATCCCGTTTGTCAATTTTGGCTTTTGTTACCTTTGCTTTTGGTGTTTTAGTCATGAAGTCTTTGCTCATGCCTATGTCCTGAATGGTATTGCCTAGGTTTTCTTCTAGGATTTTTATGGTTTTAGGTCTTACATTTAAGTCTTTGATCTATCTTGAGTTAATTTTTGTATAAGGTGTATGGAAGGGGTCCAGTTTTAGTTTTCTGCATATGGCCAGCCAGTTTTCCCAACACCATTTATTAAGTAGGAAATCCTTTCCCCATTGCTTGTGTGTGTCAGGTTTGTCAAAGATCAGATTGTTGTAGATGTGTGTTGTTATTTCTGAGGCCTCTGTTCTGTTCCGTTGGTCTATATATCTCTTTTGGTACCAGTACCATGCTGTTTTTGTTCCCATAGCCTTGTAGTATAGTTTGAAGTCAGCTGGCATGATTCCTCCAGCTTTGTTCTTTTTGCTAAGGGATAGAGGAATATTTACCAAACAAATGGAAGGCAAGAAAAAAGCAGGGGTTGCAGTCCTAGTCTCTGATAAAAGAGACTTTAAACCAACAAAAATCAAAAAAGACAAAAAAGCACATTACATAATGGCAAAGGGATCAATGCAACAAGAAGAGCTAACTATCCTAAACATGTATGCACCCAATACAGGAGCACCCAGATTCATAAAGCAAGTTCTTAGAGACATACAAAGAAACTTAGACTCCCACAGAATAATAGTCAGAGACTTTAACACCCCACTGTAAGTATTAGACAGATCAATGAGACAGAAAATTAGCAAGGATATTCAGGATTTGAACTCAGCTTTGAACCAAGTGGACCCAATAGATATCTACAGAACTCTCCACCCCAAATCAACAGAATATACATTCTTCTCAGCACCTCATTGCACTTATTCTAAAATTGACCACATAATTGGAAGTAAAGCACTCCTCAGCAAATGCGAAAGAATGGAAATCATAACAAACAGTCTCTCAGACAACAATGCAAACAAAATAGAACTAAGGATTAAGAAACTCACTCAAAACCACACGACTACATGGAAACTGAACAACCTTCTCCTGAATAACTACTGGGTAAATAACAAAATTAAGGCAGAAATAAATAAGTTCTTTGAAACCAATGAGAACAAAGACAAAACATAGCAGAATCTCTGGGACACAGCTAAAGCAGTGTGTAGAGGAAAATTTATAGCACTAAATGCCAACAAGGAAAATCAGGGAAGACCTAAAATCAACACCCTAACAACACAAAGAAAAGAATTAGAGAAGGAAGAACAAACAAATTCAAAATCTAGCAGAAGACAAGAAATAACTAAGGTCAGAGCAGAACTAAAGGAGATAGAGACACAAAAAAATGTTTCAAAAAATCAATGAATCTAGGAGCTGGTTTTTTGAAAAGATCAACAAAATAAATAGTCCACTAGCAAGATTAATAAAGAAGAAAAGAGAGAAGAATCAAATAGACACAATAAAAAATAATAAAGGGGATATCACCACTGATCCCACAGAAATTCAAACTATCATCAGAGAATACTATAAATATCTCTACACAAATAAACTAGAAACTCTAGAAGAAATGGATAAGTTCATGGACACATCCACCACCCCCAAGACTAAACCAGGAAGAAATTGAATTCCTGAATAGATCAATAACAAGTTCTGAAATTGAGACAGTAATTAATAGCCTACCAACCAAAAAAAGCCCAGGACCAGATGGATTCACACCCAAATTCTACCAGAAGTACAAAGAGGAGCTAGTACCATTCCTTCTGAAACTATTCCAATCAACAGAAAAAGGGGAACTCCTCCCTAACTCATTTTATGAGGCCAGCATCATCCTGATACCAAAACCTGGCAGAGACACAACAAAAAAAGAATATTTCAGGCCAATATCCCTGATGAATATCAATGCGAAAATCCTCAATAAAATGCTGGCAAACCGAATCCAGCAGCACATCAAAAGGCTTATCCACCACGATCAAGTCAGCTTCATCCATGGGATGCAAGGCTGGTTCAACATTTGATTATGCAAATCAATAAGTGTAATCCATAACATAAAGAGAAACAATGGCAAAAACCACATGATTATCTCAATAGATGCAGAAAAGGCCTTCAATAAAATTCAACACCCCTTCATACTAACAATTCAGAGTAGGTAATTTATGAAGAACAGAAGATTATTTGACTTATGGTTCTTGAGGCTGGGGAGTCAAAGGCATGGCACCAGCATCAGTGAGGGCCTTCATGCTGTGTTATCCCATGGTGGGAGGCAGAAGTGTAAGCAAACTCATGAGACTGAGAGCAAATCAGGGCCAAACTTCATCTTTTCATTAAGAGCTCACTGCTGTAATAAGAGCATTAATCCACTAATGAGGGGAGAACCTTTATTACCTAATCACCTATTAAAGGTCCCATCTCTTATTACCATCACAATGACAATTAAATTTCAACATGAGTTTTGGAGGTGGCACTCAAACCACTGTAATATCCTATTAGACACAATTTTCATACCAATGTAGCAAGAAAGTATTGTATAGTAGTAAGCTATTTATTCACAAACAAACCTCCCTAGTGTAAATAACATTCTGAAATTTTCAAGACATGTAATGTTTTTAATGTAACAGTGCTGCATGGTTTCAACTGAATACTTCCTGAATTTAGAAATTCATAGACATGTTTAAAGGGTGGAAGTAGTATAGGTATATTTGCATGAAAGACTGGTACCTTGTTTAAACACTCACTCAAAGGTTATAGAGAATATGGGTAGATAAACTTGATCCAAAAAATATAGTTCTGTCAGGACATAAGAAATGTGCTTCTCAATGTGTCATTTGCCTTCATTTCTATTCTTATATAGGCAATGTGAAAGAGCCATAGGAAGAAAAGGATGCAAGGAGAGATGTATATTAAATGTCTAAGGTAACATTTTATAAGGAAACCCAAGCAAAAGTAAAACCACTAAGGAGAAATCTAGGACTACAATAAAGTTGATTCATACACAGGTTATTTTTGCTACCCTCTGTATTCTCACCTGACACAATGCCTCGCACTTGGAAGGTACCACTCAATAAGTATTTGTGAAATGAATGCCCTGAGACCTCCATGATCAACATTGGGAGTGACAAAGAAAGATGGCCTGTGAAAGATAGATCAGCTGTGATTTTTAAATAAGAAACATTTAACAGAAAATGTCATTATTAAGCAGTAAACTTTTCATCATATAGAACAGTTTGGCTTTTTTATTATAAAAATAGTAAATATAGCAAATATTTTCAGCTTTGACAGCTATTGAGTGTCTGTTAAATCTACATAACTCTGCCTCTGTAACATAAAAGCAGCTGTAGACAATACAAAAACAAATGAGCATGAATCAATAAAATTTCATATATGTGATCTGAGATTAGAATTTTATATGCTTTTCATATATGATGAAACATTATTTTTATTTTTTTCAACCATTTAAAAATATGACTATTATTCTTAGCTCATGGGCTACCAAAATGAGTCTGGATTTACCCTGAGGGCCATAGTTTGCTGATTCCTGATATAGGCTATAGTTGTCACTATCAGAAAGCTACAAAATAGTTTACAAATTCAAATATAAAACTTAAGATTCATGATCATTGTGCTTTTGTCCATCCCTATGACTTAATTTTCTCTTTTAAAATGCTCTTTTTCTTTGTATTTTCTAGTGATCACTTTATTTGCTATTTCCAGAAATAAATGAAGCAAGGAAAGCACTTGATACCTTGATAGTTTTCAGAACGGATCTCTATCATCTGAGATTAATAATATTTTTATATCTAGGAGGAAAGTTATTCAAATGCATTTCAATGAAGGCTTTATACTGAGCATATAATGACTCATTATTTAAATTTCAAAAATTGGGAGAATGCTTTTACTAAGTATTATATGAGGAAGGGAAAATGAATTATTTAGAACACAATAGTAATTATTGTACATGTAAAAATTATAGAAACAAATTTATATAGCACAGGTTAGCATACCTTAATCTGCTAAACAAGTTAACAGGACATGTAATTTCTTTTTTTTTTTTTGCTGTTGTTTTACTATTAGTTGGTCATAAATCAGTGTATTTCATGACTGATAAATAACTCTGCTTGAGGAAATAAACTTTAATGTTGTATTAATGCAATGTATTTTATTCTCTAAAATAAATGAATTTTTCTCTGTATGATTTATTTAAAACAACAGAGATACTTCTCTAGTTATAATATTTGAGTTCAGAGGCCATTGGAAGAATAATACAGATTTCAGTAGAAGGTTTTATGGTATGATTGAGTAAATATATCTATAAAATTTGAAACTATATTAATACTAATAATAGCAAGTAGAATGCACTTACCTTATTCAAATCAAATGGGACATAAAATCTAAACATTTTATACTAAATTACTTTTTAAATATACATTCTTTGGACTCTATATCTCCTTTCTATTACATTAGTTTAAATAATGCTTTTAACTTGAGGTGCACAAGTCTGTGGATATAATTCAGTCTGTTCATGCACTTGGATTGGGAAATGTTTACATCTTTATTTTAACTAACCTCTAACTGAAACTTATTACAGTGTTTCCTTCAATTATAAATGTAAGCAACAAGACACAGTAGTATTATCATCTGTGTAATCAATAGAAATGGCATGTATTCATAAATTGTAGTCCAGTTGTTGCAGCTATATCAAAATGTCATTTATATTAATTTATATGTTAAAATTACAGTTGTAATATGTTGATAAATATTACTATGCAAGTAATACATTACTTCATTGTGTATTTTGAAATGTTTTAATAACTATATAATGCATCATTTTGTTTTCTTATTATATTTAAGTTTCTTTATTATTATGTTGTTGTATTCCTTTAAGACTATTATTTTGAAACGAGTTTCATAGCCTTCACTAGCCTGCAAAAGGAGTCCATGGCACAAAAAATAATGTTACAAGTTAGTTCTGATCCACATTCTAAGTTAGCCCAAAATGGTGATGTGGAATCTTACAAACCAGTAAGTAGCCCTCTGTTACAGCATATTCTCTACAATTAAAATGATATAGAGATTATTGCAATGAAGCCTTGCAGTGTTTCACTGATTTCAAACTATTCTGGGCTAACACCATTCTAAATCAATGCAGTTTACAACTATCAGAATTCAAAAGACCCACACAAATGAGTATTAACATCTGGTGTTCCTGCCTATATAACAAATTTTAGAGAAATATTTAATCTTTTCAAATATGAAAGTCCTCATCCAGTTAAAGTCTCTCCAAGCAGACAAGAAATAAAATATGGAGATATTTGATGTTCCAAAGTCAGTACTTTTGCTAACATTCCACAGTTGCATCTCAGTATTCTAATTCATAAAATGAAAGGAATACCTGGGTGCTGTGGCTCACGCTTGTAATCCCAGCACTTTGGAAGGCTGAGGTGGGTGGATTGCTTAAGGTCAGGAGTTCAAGACCAGCCTGACCAACATGGTGAAATCCTGTCTTTCCTGAAAATACATAAATTAGCTGGGCGTGGTGGCAGGCACCTGTAAATTCCAACTACTCGGGAGGCTGAGGCAAGAGAATTGCTTGAACCCAGGAGGCAGAGGTTGCAGTGAGCTGAGATTGCGCCACTGCACTCCAGCCTGGGAGACATATCGAGATTCTATCTCAAAAAAAATAAAATAAAATAAATAAATAAATAAAATGAAAGGATTGGGTTAAAGAGGCTTTCAGCTTAAGAAGTATGTGATTCTATAATTACAATATCCCTGCTAATGGTAGGCAGATTCCATGTTAATCAAGAATAATCATTAATCTATAATCACTTTGGCTCCTCAAATTTGATGAGAATATCAATGCTAGACATTCAGTTTAATTCAAAACTGACCTGATAGCTGAAATTACAAGTAATAGAGATACCTGGTTCAATTTCCAAGCTTCTCATGTTTGTAGCAGACACTGCCAAGCTACAAAGGCAGAGATCCTTTGTGTGGAAACCTTTAAAATTATTTGTATTGACCAGTGATAATGAAACACTCTGGAAGGCTCCTTTTCAAGTTCTTACCAAATTAAAGATGTGCATTTTTTTGAGTTGTGGAAGTAAGAAGAAATTGTCCTACAGTAAATGGGAGTAGTTCTATAGGAGATAGTCATAGGAAGTCATTATTTAGCTTGAAGGCTAAATATAAGGAGGACAGAGAGAGAGGCTATTCCTTGATGGAAAAGGTAGAAGTGAGCCCATAACAATATATAATATTCTATTGAAAATTTTCTTAAACAATTTATCAGACAAGTTTTCTTTTCTCCCATGACACGAAAAAAATCATTTGAATTCTAAAATATTTATCACTTTGAGACCAGAACATTTTCTAGAAGGGTGAAAACCTCTTCCTCTATGGTATGGAAACCATTAGTGTTCAAGAAGTCAAGAAAGCGGTACCTTTGTCAGCCTGAGTCCTAGAGTTAGAGATTTTGGAGCAGAATATCCAGAAAACATTTGGAAATAAATATTTGTTTTCTATAAAGTACTAAAATTTGAAAGGTGGTTTGAAATTGCAGAAAAATCTAACATATTATGACTGATACACTAGGGAAATATTAATCAAACTGCATAGACTCTCATGAGATGTTGATGTTGTTGGTTTTTCCATATCTATACACATTTCAATGTAAATTCAACAAGAAAATCTTAATTAATACCTTTGAAGAGGCTCCCGGTGCAAAGGAGGCTAGGTTTTAAAATTTATTATGATATTTCTTTATATCAATAATTTAACATTTACTCTTCTAGTAGACAGAGAAAGGGCAGAAAAGTAGTGGTACATTACATTAAAAATGTATTTCAATTTCAGAAACATTGTAATGATAAAGCAGCATATCTTATTTAACCAACTATTATAGTTAATAGAGGTGTTAAAGTATCTAACAGCTTAGAAAAAAATACTTTTTAGAGACTACTAGCTGTTCACAAAAATTCATATTCTCCTTTAGGTATTTTTATTGTCATTATTCTACCTCTGATTCATCATTGTATATTAGGTGGACGTTGGGTGAGATAGTCTGGTTGTTTAATTCATAGGCCAATAAAACATGAGAAACATCATCTTGATCTAGTGGAAAGCACTGAGCATTTCCCAAATGGATTTCAGCTGGATGCAGTAGTTGAATGTGACTTTCAACTGATTCCTTTGGAGAAGGAATTAAGTGACATTAGATCTCTGAGTGGTTTATAGCAGCAAATTCTAAACATTTGCCATGTTTGAAGATGTTGATTTTACAGCCAAAGTTAGGACAGAAACAGAAGATTGGAGAAAAAGTAACATGTGTAGTGAGTAATGGGTAGGAGGAGGATATTGACAGTAAGGGGGACATTTAAGACTTTTGGACATAGGAATTGGCAAGCATCTTAAAAAACATGTATTATTTTGACATCTGTTTCTTTAGCTCAAAATAATCTAGGTTTTTCTATCAAACAAAATCATGAGAAGAGAAGGTCTAGACAAAAGGGAGGGATAAAAATTAACATCAAGATAGAGGATTTAATAATTTTACTAGCTCCAGTGGGTTACTGGGTGATATTTGGTGAAGTGGGATGAAAGAACTGAGGTGTTGTAGAAGTTTTCTGAGATTTTGCACCTATGCTAGTCCTTAAATTGAGGTGTCTATAAAGACTGTATCTAGATAAACACACAACAAAGTAGCTGAAAGCAGTTGTGACCGATTTAGTGCAGTTAATGCCAACTACACAGCAACAAGTTTGAGGAGGACAATTGGGAGCCAAAACCATTTTAGAGACAGGAATGTGTGCAAAGGTGACAAAATGGGAAAATGTTAGAAGTTATATGTGCATATCTACATTGATGACATGGAGAAGGACACCTATACCCATTAAGGAAGATACTTATATTCTTTCCACAAAGGACTTGGCAAAATCCTAATTTAGCATATGCAAATGTGAGACGCGCTTAGCTTCTCAAATTTAATGCCTGATTCTCCAACATACGGTTTAAGGATTTAGGAAAAGAGAAGTTGCTTGTTAGATTGCAATGTAGTAGGCCCAGAGTTTGCTGCCTCAGTATCAGGTTGTGTAAATTTTTGTGGGATAGTGGCCCGCTGACTGGTCATTTATAAATGTACTATAATGAATGAGGAAGTTTTTAAAGCTAAATTTGATTTTCATATTATGTTCAAAGACTTTGAAAATTCATACGTGAGTATGTGCAGTTGAGGGTGTGAGAAGTAGAGGAAGAGCACAGTTTTGTCACTGACAGTAGGTGAAATACTTAGGAGGTAGGGGAAATAAATTTGGAGGATGCAAACCTTCTGCAGTTGTGAGAGGCCTATCCTGAGTTGCAGGCTTTTATAGAAAGTTTCTTCTGATGTAACTGGCTGAGTCTGTTTGAGAAGGTGCTGTGGTGCACCTGACTCTGTCACTTGTCTAGGATGCAACTAAGTGAGAGTGGAAGCTACTCGCAGATATTGAACCCCTTCTTCAAGTTCTAACACTGCCCAGAGCACATGCAATTTAGGAACAAGAAAGGAATCTGAGCAGTCCATACTACACATTTATCACCTATTAATACCTTTTATTTTTCTCTAAGACTCACTCAAAATACTACCTCATTCTTGGATACTTTCCAGGCTTGAGAGCTGGGTGTAATCACTCCTATCTATATAATTATATAAAACATTATCTATGTTATTTAAAGATATCTCTTAACTGACTTTACATCAGTATTATATATGCATATCTTATGTAGTAGTCTTGTAATACTGTAAAATGATTTGACTCATCTTCCTCCCTTGAACAGGACCTAATTCTCTTTCACAGTAAGTTAATTTATTTATTCAACAAATATTTTTGCTTGCCCTCTCAGTGCTCATTATACATTAAATGCCTTGTCAATATTTATATGAAAAGGCAAAGGAAAGAAAAAAAGAAATAAAGAAGGAAGATAAGATAGAAGGAAAGAAGAAGGGAACAAGCAGGGGTTTAACCATGTGAATTATTTGTCTTTGGTAAATCAGAAAGATATAAAATATTAACGGTTTGAAAAACAAGCAGAGATGAATATTTTTTTTCCTAAAACTACTTAAATCTGTGTACTTTCAAATATACCATTAGTCTTATCTATTTCCATATTGTAACTTAGGATTTTAAGCCCCTTTGGAAGACTTAAGGTTTCATTAGCTGTTATTTAATTTGCTCTTCCTTCTACCTCTCATAACTCTACCTTTTGCATTAGAAGGTGATTACTCCTGTTTTCTATGTTAGCTTTATTCCAGTGTGCTGTGCTAACTACAAAAATAATCATAAAGCCTTTTTCTAAACCATTTTTAAATCTTGTGTGGCATCTACAAATTATTTTCCTTTGAATGAGTTCATATAGCGATCATCAAACACCAGAATTGCAAACTGATTAAGAGCACTTTAAGCTTGCTTCCTCTAGTAGATAAACATTTGATCTTGCTTCAGAAAGGTCTGGAATATGGCTGACTTTGTGTCTTCTTTGTCATGATTCCTTTAACCCTCATTATTTAATAGACTGAAGAAAGCAGTTTGTGTCCCATAAGTTTAAACTTCTCTTTTAATTATCGCTGCCGTCTCCTATCCACAAGTCTTAAGAGGACTTCAAGGCAAGGGAGTTGATCTAAGTTGACACAGCTGGAAGAAAAGTCAGCCCCAGATGAATGCAAGTTACACCAAGATAAACCACAGTGTATCAGCTTGGGTTCTGGTTTGTAACAGATTAATGCAGAGGTTTTTACCCCAATTAGTAGCTAATTCATCAAAATTTCTGGAGATAAAGATCAGAGAACTGTATTTTAAATAATCTCTCCAAATGTTTTTATTTATCCCTGTGTTCTTACATTTATGTTGTTCCCTCTACACAGGTTGGGACCACATGTGACATTCTTCCACCTAGGATCAACATAGACTCCAGAAGCTTATATTGCAAAAAGATAAAAGGTTGCCTAAGGCAAAGTTTTATTTTTCTGGACAGATCTCAATGTTTTATGCATTAAAATCAGGCTCTTAAGGATGCAATATAGTGATAGAGACCTAACTGATGATGATATGAGCAAGGTCTAAATAGGTTTTTTTCTCTTTCTCCCTTTGAATTATTTTAGCTGATATACTTCTGAGGCTACTTGGATTCATTTGTGACAATTGCTTAGCTCAAGACTTCCCAAAGTTTTTCAACTATAGGAATTACCTAGGGGATCCTTATTAAAAATACAAATTCCAGGAGCCACACTTCCCAAGTCAGAAATTCCAAGGTAATACACACACACACACACACACACACACACACACACACACACACACACGATTATTATTAAGTCTAAACTGCTATTGAAACTTCTAAAACTAGGATAATTTTATTCTTCAAATTTAGTTTAATCATACATTAACATACTCTCTAGATATATACTACTACCTATGTATAGATATGAATATATACTAGCTGTAGTCATTAAAAATTGGGGCCCAATATAAAAATATTCTTTATGCATTGTATAAATAGGCCTACTGTACACCTCGAAAGCCTACTCTTGTAAATTATGGGATGTTTGAATATTTGCACTTCTATTCAGCTAGTCTCATGGTAAATGTTGAAAAATATGTTGGAGATAGTACCATTTTCTGGACTGATTAGGCCAAAGAATGTAATTATCATGAGAAGAGCTGCATTATTGCCCTATGTTATTATTAAAAGCAAAGAATTAGTGACTTTTATTGAGAGCTTCAAGAGCTACATCTATGTTACCAGAGGCCCCAAAAGAAACAGGAAATGAGAAGGAAATAATACAAAAATAAACATCTCCAGGAAATTTGATATTGCGACCATATTAAGACTGGTGGAATTTTAACTCTTTAAAGTAAATACAGACTCTTCTGGAACTTCTTAATTACAAGAAACCTCCTACCTCTGCCTGGGAATGCTATATTACCTCATTTCTTGTTAAATGAACTTCATAAGTGTTTGTATCCTTTACCAGCTCTGTGTGTGTGTGTGTTTGTGTGTGTGTACACAAAAACCATAAGAGTTTGGATCCAATGTGTAAATAGCTTGAAAATTGTCATTCATATTCTTTCAACAAAAAAGAGCTGGGCCAACTGAAAAGCATCTACTTTTATTGGACTTTTCAGATACCAGAAATCACAGGACAAACTACCACTCTGAAATCTGGAGAGACAAGTGAATCCAGGAAGACAAGTATGAGATGTTTACCTATAACTGAAGCCACTGAAGCCATAAATGGGTAGGAATACTTGAATAGCAATATTGACAAATGGATGGAAACTAAGTGTAAGTGAGAAAATCCTGGGGGCTGCAGTCCAAGTGGCAGGGGTGGGAGGGTGGGAAAATTCTATGCTTTCCTGAATATTCCCACCAGGAATCTCACAAGTTTGTCTCAGGAGCTGAGACATTCTGAACATCCTGGTATGGGGAAGGGGAAAATAACCATTGTGAAACATACCAAGAGCGCTCTTCATAAAAAAAAGCTAACTCTCAAGAGGAAAGACTTTGCCAGAGCACAGTTCAGAAACCTTATCTCAGTTGGGGAAGGGAATTCTCCTCATTCTAGCTACCTCCATTTTTCCTGGCTCACCTGAGGGAGAAATAAACAAACAAACAAAAACAGTACCTAACAGGGGACAGTCTTTAAGGAAATAGATTGGGGGAAAAAAAGTGCTACCACTGAAGGAGAGACAAAGACACTTGTAAAAGTCACAGTTCTGGCATACAGACTCAGTAAAAGACGGTACTTAATCAAAATATTACAGAATGTTCTGCTCTCCCACACCATACAACCATACTAACAAACCCCCAATAATAATAACTTAATTACAGCTAAAAAAAACGGCAAGACAAAGACAGCATTTTAAAAGGCATTATAGGGGACCCTCCCTAAAAAAACAAACAAACAACAACAACAACAAAAAACACACAAAACGAGAGAAAAAGACAAGGTCTTTGAAGGCTCTGGTACACATGGAAACGGCAAACAGTAAACACAGCCAAAATCCTAACCAGATTAAAATGCGTCTTTACACTAAAGGTATATTTACCTCAGTTTGTATTGTTGCCAGAAAAGGGATCTTCTCTCAGACCCCAAGAGTGGGTTCTTGGATCTCACATGGGAAAGGATTCAGGACAAGTCACTGAGTATAGTAACATTAAAACATTTATTAGAAACTACTGTATTACAGAGTAGAACGTCCTCAGAAAGCAAGAGGAGGAACTCATCTATCTTAAACATAATGCCTCATTATGTAGGATATTAAGGCTGAGAATAGTGTACGTTATTATAAAATCTTGTCATCAGCTTGTGACAGACTACTAGTATTGCTATTTTCCTGAGTAATATCAATTTCAGCAAGAATTTATGAGTATACTATCATCTTAAAAGCAAAACTTATTCTTAAACTAAGAATGCCTTTGTTCTTAAAATATTGAGACATTTTCATAAGTTTTGGGTCCTTAGTTAGTTAGCACCATTTACTCGTTCCCTCAACCACAATCATCTTATCTCTAACTTCCTAGGAATCTAACCCACCAGGTTGGGCTTTATCCAGCCTTTATTCAAGATGGAGTCACTCTTGTTAGGACGCCTCTGACATTATTACTCAATACATGTCCAGGTTGCAATAGGAAATTAAGATGCATGTCAAAAGCATAGAAACTGTAAACACCTAATTGGTTCTTCTTGCTCACTGCCCAGATAGAGCCGATTTATCAAGACAAAGGAATTGCAATAGAGAGTTTAATACATGTAGATCTGGCTAACTGAGAGACTAGACTTTTATTACTCAAATAATCCTCCCTCAAAACTTGGAGGCAAGGGTTTTAAAAGATAATTTGGCAGGCAGCGAGCTAGGGTATGCGTGCTGCTGTTTGGTTGGTAATTCAGTCATAGGGTTGTGGAAAACAGTCCTTGTACACTGAATGGGCTTCAGAGTGAGGTCCACAGAGGAGTTGCTGGTCTGGGTGGGGCCGTCTAATCATCAGAAATGCAAGACCTGAAAACACATCTTACAAGGCCTATCTTACGTTTTACAATAATGTTGTTATTTACAGGAGTAACTGGGGAAGTTTCAAATCTTGTGACCTCCTGAATAATGGCTAGTAGTTGTTTAACTACTAACTCAGGCCCTGTCATCTTCCTAACCAGGTTTTACAGAAGCAGTTTAGTTTTAGAGAAGAGCTATTATCATTTAAATTATAAACAAAATTTCTCCCAAAGTAAGTTAGCTTGGCCCATGCCCAGGAATGACCAAGGGTAGTTTGGACATTAAAGGCAAGATGAAGTTGATTAGATCAGATCTATTTCACTGTTGTAATTTTCTTACTGTTATGATTTTTGCAAAGATCTTTTTAAAATTAGAATCATTGTAACAGAAATAAAAATACATTTGATAGCTTCATCTGTAGACTGAACATGGCTGTGAAAAGAATTAGTGAGCTTGAATATAAGCAAATAGAAAGCTATCAAATTAAGTACAAAAGAAATAAAGTGGAACAACTAAGCACTGTAAGACGATACCAAAATATGTAACTGGAATGAGAGAAGGAAAAGAGAGAACTTAGCAGAAGAGTTATTTGAAAAATTAATGACTGATAACTTTCCAAAATCCATGATAATCACTAAATCACAGATTCATGAAACTCAGAGAGTGCTAAGCAGAATAAATTGCAAAAACAAACATATGGAAATGCTGTTGGCATAGCATGTTAAAACTGAAAAAAATCAAAGACAAACAGAAAATTATAAAGGAAGCATGATTAAAACAAAACAAAAACAAAACAAAATTCTTATCTATAAAAGAACAAGTATAAGAATTGCAATGATTTCTCATCAGAAACCAGGCAACATAAAGAGAGTGGATTAAAATTCTTAACATATTAAAAGAAAAAAAATCCACCAACCTAGAATCCTACAGCCCATGAAATTATCCTTCAAAACAGAAGATTACCTCAGACAAAATTGTGGGAATTTGTTGCCAGCAGATTTGTTTCCTTCAAATTTTTACCAGCAGCAAATCTTTATGGGTCTGCAGCAACCTCAATTCTTGCCTCCTCAGAAGAAATAATTCTACTGAGAGGCGTAAGGTAGAAGGAGAGACCAAGATAGGTTTTAGAGCAGGAGTTAAAGTTCATAAAAAAGCTTTAGATCAGGAATGAAAGGAAGGAAAAAAAGTACACTTGCAAGAGGGCCAAGCGGGCAACTTGAAAGACACGTGTGCAGTTTGACATTTGATGTAGGGTTTATTTTCTGGAATACTTCTGGGGTCTTGTATCCCTTCTGCCTTGATTCTTCCCTTGGGGAGGGCTGTCTGCATGCACAGTGGCCTGCCAGCAGTTGGGAAGGGAGTATACACAGTGTTTTTACTGGAGTTGTATGCACGGTTTTCTGTATACCAGCAATTAACAATTTGATTTTGAAATTAAAAATATAATACCATTTACAATACTCTGCCCCAAAATGAAATACTTAAATGTAAATATATTAAAATATGTATAGGATCTATATGCAGAAAACTACAAAACTCTGATATAAAAAGTCTAAATAAATGGAGAAATATTCTTTGTTAGTGGATTGAAAAACTCAATATTATGGTGCTTTTTTTTAAACATAACATTTAGATTAAATGAAATTTCCACCAAAATATTAGCAAGCAATTTTGTAGATATCAATAAACATATCCTAAAGTTTATATAGAAAGGCAAAAGATCCAAAAATACCTAATATTAATATAATATAAAGGAACAAAGTTGGAAGGTGGATACTACCTAACTTCAAGACTCACTATCAAACCACAATAATCAAGACAGTGTGGTATAAGTGAAAGAATAGATGAATAGATCAACTTAACAGAATAGGGAGCCCAGAAATAGACCTACACAAATACAGCCAACTGATCTTGTCAAAGAGGTAAGACAATTCAATGGAGAAAGGATAGCGTTTTTAATAAATGGTGCTGGAATAATTGGACATTCACATGCAAAAAAAGTACACAGACACAAACCTTATACTTTAAACAAAGAATTAACTTTAAATGGATTATTGTAAGAGGAAACTCTATGAAATTGTAAAAGATAACATAGGAGAAAAAAGCTAACTTACTTTGGGTTTGGTAGCCAATATATTTTGACACATCAAAAGTACAATTCATGATATAAAATATTATAAATTGAATTTTATTAAAATTAAAATGTTTTCTCTGTGAAATACAATTTTAAAAGAAGGAATAGATAAGCTACAAACCAAGGGAAAATATCTAGAAATCACATATCTGATAAAGGACTTGTATCAAAAATATATTTTTAAAACTCTTAAAATTGGCCAATACGAAAACAAACAAATCATTTAAAGAATGAGCGAAAGATCCTAACAGACACCTCATGAAAGAAGATGTGCAGATGGAAATAAACTATTTGTAAAAATGACTCAGCAGTTTTTGACATTAGGGAAATAAAGATTAAAACAACAAAGGATACCACTATATACCTATTAGAACGGCTAAAATAAAAAAAACTGATAATACTCATTCCTGGTGATAATGTAGAACAAGAGAAATGCTCATTCATTGCTGGTGAAAATGCAAGACAGTAAATATATTTTGGGGAAAAATGGCAGTTTCTTACAAAGCTAAGCATTGTCTTACCTTATAATGTAGCAATAACAGTCTTATTTATGCAACCAACTATTTTTTACCCTTATGCCCACGCAAAACTATACAGCTGTTTATAGCAACTTTATTTATAATTGTCAAAAACAGAGAGCATGTCTGTCTATAAGCTATCTTCTTGTGGCATATGGGTTAATATTTCTGAAACCACAATACATGTATATTGGAATTGAAAAATTAAGTAAATGTATGGCAAATCATGGGACTCAAATTTCTAATCATTAAAGAGAGAAGTTATAGACAATCAAATGGAGAAGACTAGAATGACACATGTGACAGCGAATTAGAGTGGGAGAGATCAGTATGAACTCATGGTTTAGCCTGATATGACACAGATGTATACATATATAAATATTTTTTGCTTTGAGAGGCTGAGGCAGGCAGATCACAAGGTCAGGAGATCGAGACCATCCTGGCTAACACGGTGAAACCACATTTCTACTAAAAATATAAAAATTAGCTGGGCGTGGTGGCATGCACCTGTACTCCTGGCTACTTGGGAGGCTGAGGCAGGAGAATCACTTGAACCCGGGAGGCGGAGGTTGGAGTGAGCCGAGATCACGCCATTACCCTCCAGCCTGGGCGACAGAGAGAGACTCTTTCTCAATAAATAAATAAATAAATAAATACATGAATAAATATTTTTTGAGTTGTGTATATACATGAGTTAGTATACACACATATATTTCATTGCTCTTTTCTCTGAGAAGGCATAGAAGCAATGACACACAGGAACAACAAGGCTATGCAGTGCCCTAATGTTGATGTCTAGTATCATCCTTTAGTAAAAGGTAACCAAGGCTCCCTGGAGAAATGGCTGCCTGTCATGCTGTGGCCAGGAGTATACAAGATGGGCTTGGAACATCTTGCAGTGCTAGAAAGTAAGGAAGTACATAAGAATCACAAAAATGAGAGTATGCCAAAGGGAAATAGGAGCCAATTTAAAAAGCCCCCAAAAACCAAAGCTAGAACAATTTGAGCAACAAAATAAACAGAGAAGTGTTGGAGGACAACTCAAAGCATAAAATAAATATCCATAAGTCCATATTACATGTATATAGTTCCATAAACAAATAAATGGGAAAGAACTAAATCTGTGCAGAATTGCAAATAACTTATATAGATATTCCACCTTAAAGGAGGCAGAGCATAACTTCCCACTCCTCATGTGTTCACTGTGGATAGTGACTATACTTCCAAAAGTAGAGAGTGGAAAAAAGGAGAGAAAGCATAGATCTACAGTAGAGACTCCTCACAAAAACTATCTCAGAGAAGTAGGTGATCACAGTTAACATCAATAGTGAGAAGTCATGTTGATAGCATGTACCATGTGATGTCATGAGAATGGCACTTTATCTCTGTTGCATTTCTCCCAAAACTCATGCACTCTTAACCTAAGAAAAATATCAGACAAATCTCAGTGTGAGTCAGTCTACAAAGCACTCTTCAAAAATGTCTAAGTCATCAAAATGAAATTCTAAGAAGCCATCACAACAAACAAGAGCCTAAAACACATGACACTGTCATGGAGCATCTTTGGTGGGATGTGCCTTTGTCTCTTTGGACTGCTATCACAAAATATTCATAGACTGAGTGGCTTAGAAACTGCAGAAATTTATTTTTCACAGCTGTGGATGCTGGAAAGTCCAAGATCAAGGTGTCTGCAAATTTAGTGCCTGGTGAGGGCCTTCTTCCTAATTCATAGATGGTGCCTTTTTACTGAATTCTTACATCATGGAAGGGGCAAATGAGCTTCCTTGGGCCTATTTTATAAGAGTGTTAATCACATTCAAGATGGCTCTGTTCTCATGGCCCAATCATCTCCCAAAAACCATACCCCCTAATACCATCACTTTTATGATTAGGTTTTGATATATTATTTTGAAAGGGACACAAACATTCAGACCATAGCAGAATGCTGGGATCAGAAAAAAAAATACATCAGGACAACACAAAAGGAAACCTCAATAATGTATAAAATTTAGCTAAAGCACACACACACACACACAGACACACACACATAGACATCCATTTATTCTTTTGTTGTATCTAATGGTATCTTTCTGTCAACCTTATAACGATGTCTTTTGAGAGCTATGCTTGCATTTACTAAATTTGGGATATTTTTCTTTATTTTTACCCTTTCTCACTGAAACTCATACCCTAGTATTACTTACTTAGGTAAAAACCTAATATCCTAAAAAATGACAAAATTAATAGGAAAATCAATCTTCCTCCAGCCGAGTAGTAGTAATAAACAGAAAGATGCAGACACATTCGCTCCAGATATTGATTTTAAATCCCTCAAAATAAAACATTATTTAAAAATAAAAACAAGGGGTTATGTTTTAATTGGCTAGTATAAATAGAGTGCTGGATTAAGAAACACAAAATACATTCATTTTGTTGTTTTCAGATTCAAGGGGGCATAGAAGGCAGATTGTTAGCTATTTGAGTTGAATATGTAAGTAATAGATTTTTGTACTTATTAAGCTAAAGTAACATATTTTTCACATAATTCAGTCTTGCAGGTATTTAATTTTTACCTACTTTATAGTCAACGCAATGTGCCTCTCCCCCACCCCACATAAGTACTCATTTTTGAAGATGATCAAGTGATTTTAGCTTCTCTTAATTGCTTCTCTTTTTAGAGAAGCAGGAAATCTCTCCTGATGAAACCTATTTTTATCATCCTTAGGATGCAATGGTAGGAGAATGAAATCTAATATGTTTCAGTGATTATTTTACTAAAGTGTTGAATTATGTGCTTTGTGAAACTCTGAAGCTGCATTCAGCACCAAATTGTAGATATTAGAACCCCACTGGCAAAGTGGCAAAAAATGAATAGCTACCCGCTAAGTATACTGAGAAGTAGACAGGCAATAAAATGAATAGAATCAGCATTCTTTACCAATGCAGAGAAACTTTGATTGACTACAGGCTAGTGGCTATTTCCAAAGATGTGACACTTGACGCATATTTTCAAGTCCCAACTTTTCTGCTCTTCTTATTATCATACATTTGGCTCAGGATATTAGGGTTTTTTTTTCCTCTGGGAAACATTCAAATTTTCAGCTGCATCTTTTATTAAATTAGATGTGCTAGTTGCCAACTTTATTCAACTAGATTAAAGAAAAAGTTTGAAATAATGTAAAACTGCATCTATTGTATTGTGGAGAGATTGGAAGTGCAATTCTTTAAGTTGTAGGGTGGTGGGGACTAATCATTATTAGGTTCCAACTTGGTTCTGTTCAGTGTGCTATCTTAATATTTGCATATTTGTTGTTAAACATTCAATCTAAGATGTAGATTTTATCCATGAGGAGACCCATAGCACCTGGCATATAGTAAACAGTTCGTAAGATCTAGCTTTTCTTATTATAATTTTAATTTTACTCCTGAGAAAAATGAGAATAAAAATATCAAGTAATGTTTCCCAGATAACAAAGCTAATTGTGTTCACTTCGAAGTTTACACAGAATTTTTTTTTTGCCCTAGAACATAAACTTGTACTCAGCTTACAACACATTTCTCATAGCATAAATATCAAACTCCTTTATATCATGTTTGGTGTCCTCCAACATCTGACCTTGATTCTTTTCATTGCACTTAAGTTCTAACCATTCAGGACACAGTTTTTTGAGCAAACCAGGCTCCCTTCCTCACTCTTTTGCATTTACTCCTGATGACTCCCTTGAATGCAATGAGAAAACTTTGAACAATCAAGACTTTTCTTAAATTTAGTCTCTTTGGAGCCTGTTCTGATCTTTTCCCCACCTAGTCCCCAACACCGTGCTCTTTTCTTTCTTCTACAATTGTACCTATGAATTTCATTGAGGTTATGATTTTTACATATCTGTCCCTCATTACCAGACTATGACTTTTCTGGAAGCGAACCTGTGCCATATTAGCTTTAGTTTGCTTAACACTGTGTTTATCATAAAATGGGCATTTCGTGAATGGATCAAAAGATGAATAATCATTAACTGGAATTATAATTGTAACTAAATTCCATAGGAGTTATTTTTCTTCAAGTGTCCTTAATTATTACCGTATTACAAATTTAACCTTCTTGAATAAAATAGGAACAGTTATCTGAAGTTCCAGAGATTGTACCAAGTCTATGACGGCTTCCATTACTTGCCATGAATTCAGTAACTTTTTATTACCACTTATTAAAAGAAAGTAAAAAGAAAGAGTAAAGAAAATATCCTGGTATGTTGCTGTTTTATGATATATTGTTTCATGTATTATTTGTGATAGACTATATTTTACCATGAACAAGACACTACTGTTTAAATTTGGAGTACATGGAATTGTATATAATCAATTTTCAGAGAAATATACTATTAATGTTTAGAATTTGATGTTTCTTTCTAAATATAAAAATAGCTTTTGTATCTTGTTGCAAAATAATTCTATAAGTGTATGGTTACATTATATTAAACATAAGACATTTTGATGGCAATATATTTCAGAAAAAAATGATAAAGCAATGAAAGCCTTAAATCTCTGAGAGCTCAGGTAAACATAAATCTTCACTTAAGCAATGTGGATTATGGGAAGATGGAAAAAGCCATTCAATAGTTCAGGTAACCTAAAGCAGAATGCAAACATTCCAAATGTTTTGAGAAAATTCCATTGTTGGTGAGAGCATAAAGAAACATGCTTTTCTTCTTACCAATGTCAATCAGTAAAAACATAGCTCTGGAATATTTTTGAGTTAGTTAGGGCAAAGCAAAAGTCTTTTGTCAGAAAATATATCTTAACAATACGAGACGATGACAATTGTTGCCTTTAGATGAGGAAGCTTTGGATTCAATTCACAATTGGGTCTTTCCATATCTTTCTGTGGCTCCCAATGAATTCTGCAACAAGTTGTCAAGGGACTTGCTAAATTTAGATAACAGAGGAAAAGAACAAAATAAAAGTTTAGTGTTAAAATGTGCAAAACTCATTTTTTGGTAGCACAAGCATTTGACAATATTTAGAGTCCTGGATTAGTTTTTCACTAATTATTACACATTTTATGTATAAATGAAAGAGTAAACATTTATGTGTTTCTTAGACAATTTATTTATTTGGTTCTTAGATAATTTATTTAATGTTTAATAAACACAATCTGTTTTCCTACAGATAAAATTAGGAAACGATCCTTTCAAAAATAGTCAAACATAACAAAAATTATGTATCTATTACAAAAAAAGATACATAATACGTGATATTCATAGAGCAGTTACTATGATTCAGGCATGGCGTTAGAAGCTTTACAGTCATTATTTTTAAAATTGCAACTTAGTCCAAGAAGATAAAAGATACAAAAATTATGTTTAAAAAAGGGGTGATTTTATCTCTGCATTTTAGTATTAGTATTTACACCCATGGCTGTCAGTATAAAACTTCATTCATGGTAAGTGGTTAAGAGTAATGACGTGATTTCAGACAGCCATGTGTGTAAATACTAATTCTACTCTTATGAACAAGTTGTTCTACCTCTCTAATCCTCAGCTCATTCATTAGTAAAATGAGGATAACAGTAATACCCACCTCATAGATTATTTTAAAATGACTAAATGTGATAAAATATGTAAAGTGCTTAGCACAGTGTCTGATAAATAGTGAGTGCTCTGCTTTGGCAATGAATTATTACTATTATTATCATCATAAACATAGAAGTATCTAATTTTCATTTAAAAGGTGTTAAAAGCCAAGGATAATTTAGAAGCGGGAAAGTTATAGCCCATGAGGTATATCTTGCCTATGAATATATTTGCTTAGTTAATGCAGTCTTTTGGCAAAATTAAGACATTACAAAATCAAGAAGTGTTACATAAAAATCTTGGTTTCTGAATTTTCCTGAAAAACAGGAAGATCTGACAATATCGATCCATATTTTCTCATGGTAAAAAATAGTTGGACCTATGGAACAGAATAGAGATCTCAGAAATAATATCACAAATCTACAACATCTTATCTTCCACAAACCTGACAAAAACAAGCAATGGGGAAAGGATTCCCTATTCAATAGGTGGTGCTGGGAAAACTGGCTATCCATATGCAGAAAATTGAAACTGGACCCCTTCCTTATACCATATACAAAAATTAACTCAAGATGAATTAAATACTTAAATGTAGAAACCAAAACTATAAAAACCCTAGAAGAAAATCTGGGCAATGCCATTCAGGACATAGGCGTGGACAAAGATTTCATGATGAAAATATCAAAAGCAATTGCATTAAAAGCAAAAATTGACAAATGGGATTTAATTAAACTAAAGAACTTCAGCACAGCAAAAGAAACTATCATTACTGTGAACAGACATCCTACAGAATGGGAGAAAAATTTCACAATCTATCCATCTGACAAAGGTCTAATATCCAGAATCTACAAGGAACTTAAAGAAATTTACAAGAAAAAACAAACAACAACGTGAAAAAGTGGGCAAATGAGATGAACAGACACTTTTCAAAACAAGACATTTATACAGCCAACAAACGTGAAGAAAAGCTCAACACCACTGATCATTAGAAAAATGCATATCGAAATCACAATGAGATATTATGGGAAAAGGCATGTCATAGAGGACATAAAAGGTATTTAATTACAAACAATTGTGCTCAATGAGAGTCATAATGCATATTAAAATAATAGCAAGATATAATTTTCCACCTATGTTCTTAACTAAAAGCAACACAAAGATTTGAGTAAGATCAGTGTGTTGATGAAAGAGTGAGGGAACAGGCACTTTTTTGATTATTATACTTTAAGTTTCAGGGTACATGTGCACAGTGCAGGTTAGTTACATATGTATACATGTGCCATGTTGGTGTGCTGCACCCATTAACTCATCATTTAGCATTAGGTATATCTCCTAATGCTATCCCTCCCCCCTCCCCCCACCCCACAACAGTCGCCGGTGTGTGATGTTCCCCTTCCTGTGTCCATGTGTTCTCATTGTTCAATTCCCACCTATGAGTGAGAACATGCGGTGTTCGGTTTTTTGTCCTCGCGATAGTTTGCTGAGAATGATGGTTTCCAGCTTCATCCATGTCCCTACAAAGGACATGAACTCATCCTTTTTTATGGCTGCATAGTATTCCATGGTGTATATGTGCCACATTTTCTTAATCCAGTCTATCATTGTTGGACATTTGGGTTGGTTCCAAGTCTTTGCTATTGTGAATAGTGCCGCAATAAACATACGTGTGCATGTGTCTTTATAGCAGTATGATTTATAATCCTTTGGGTGTATACCCAGTAATGGGATGGCTGGGTCAAATGGTATTTCTAGTTCTAGATCCCTGAGGAATCGCCACACCAACTTCCACAATGCTTGAACTAGTTTACAGTCCCAGCAACAGTGTAAAAGTGTTCCTATTTCTCCACATCCTCTCCAGCACCTGTAGGGAACAGGCACTTTTAAACGAAGTTAACAGGAACTTAAATTGCACCACCTCTATACAGAGCAATTTTGCAATACCTATTAAAATGTAAAATGAATATGTCCTTTATCTCAGCAATTCTACATCTACAAAACTTGCATGTGTATGTAAATATACGTATATAAATATATACAAATGTATGTACAAAGATACACACAGAATGTTCATTGCAGCAAAGTTTGTAAACACAGGAAAACAATCTAAACATCAGAAGTAACTATTTAATAATTTTAATTTTATCCATAGACTTGTACATCTTACAGATGTAAAAATAAAGAGTGATGAAAACGAATATGGTGATGGATTATTTTAATATACACAGGTAAGTGACAAAGCCAAAGAGGAGAAAACAAAACAAAAGCCAGATTTGTATGTCTTCACTTGAATTGAAGAATAGAGTATAACTATACCAACATATGTTTTTAAGGCATAAAAAACTCTGAACTGATACAGGAGAGACTAGTAACTGTGGTTGACTCTGGGGAAGAGGCTTGGAAGAGATGGAGATTATATTAGTTATTAAATTATTTCATTCTATTTGAAATTTGACAATTCATTTATTTTACTTTTTTAATGAAAATGGTTGCCTTACAACAGATGCTGGTGAGGTGCAGAGAAAAGGGAACACACATATTTGTTGGTAGGAATGTAAATTAGTTCAGCACCTTTGGAAAGTAGTTTGGCAATTTCTGAAAGAACTTAGAACTACTATTCAACCAACAATCTCATTACTGGGCATATATCCAAACGGAAATAAATTAGTCTACCTGAAAGACACATGAACTCATATGTTCATTGCAGCACTATTCACAACAGCAAAGACATGGAATCTACCTAGGTGCCTATCAGTGGTGGATTGGATAAAGAAAATATGGTACATATACACCATGGAATACTACACAGCCATGAAAAGAATACAATCATGTCCTTTGCAGCAACATGGATGGAGCTAGAGGCCATTATCCTAAGAGAATTAATGCAGGAGAAGAAAACCAAATACAGCATGCTCTTTCTTATAAATGAGAGCTAAACAATGGGTAGTGATGACATAAAGATGATAACGACAGACACTGGAGACTACTAGAAGAGGGACGGGAGGAGGGAAGGGTCAAGGGTTGAAAACGTAACTATTGAGTACTATGATCAGTGCCTGGGTGATGGAATCAATCATACCCCAAACATCAACATCATGCAATATACCCAGGTAATCAACTTGCACATGTACTCCCTGAATCTAAAATAAAAGTTGAAATTATTTTAAAAATGCTTGCCTTTTAAAAGTAATGAGTTTCTTTTTTTTTTTTTTATTATACTTTAAGTTTTAGGGTACATGTGCACAATGTGCAGGTTAGTTACATATGTATACATGTGCCATGCTGGTGCGCTGCACCCACTAACTCGTCATCTAGCATTAGGTATATCTCCCAATGCTACCCCTCCCCCCTCCCTCCACCCCACCACAGTTCCCAGAGTGTGATATTCCCCTTCCTGTGACCATGTGATCTCATTGTTCAATTCCCACCTATGAGTAAGAATATGCGGTGTTTGGTTTTTTGTTCTTGCGATAGTTTACTGAGAATGATGGTTTCCAATTTCATCCATGTCCCTACAAAGGACATGAACTCATCATTTTTTATGGCTGCATAGTATTCCATGGTGTATATGTGCCACATTTTCTTAATCCAGTCTATCATTGTTGGACATTTGGGTTGGTTCCAAGTCTTTGCTATTGTGAATAATGCCGCAATAAACATACGTGTGCATGTGTCTTTATAGCAGCATGATTTATAGTCATTTGGGTATATACCCAGTAATGGGATGGCTGGGTCAAATGGTATTTCTAGTTCTAGATCCCTGAGGAATCGCCACACTGACTTCCACAATGGTTGAACTAGTTTACAGTCCCACCAACAGTGTAAAAGTGTTCCTATTTCTCCACATCCTTTCCAGCACCTGTTGTTTCCTGACTTTTTAATGATTGCCATTCTAACTGGTGTGAGATGGTGTCTCATAGTGGTTTTGATTTGCATTTCTCTGATGGCCAGTGATGATGAGCATTTTTTCATGTATTTTTTGGCTGCATAAATGTCTTCTTTTGAGAAGTGTCTGTTCATGTCCTTCGCCCACTTTTTGATGGGGTTGTTTGTTTTTTTCTTGTAAATTTGTTTGAGTTCATTGTAGATTCTGGATATTAGCCCTTTGTCAGATGAGTAGGTTGCGAAAATTTTCTCCCATTTTGTAGGTTGCCCGTTCACTCTGATGGTAGTTTCTTTTGCTGTGCAGAAGCTCTTTAGTTTAATTAGGTCCCATTTGTCAATTTTGGCTTTTGTTGCCATTGCTTTTGGTGTTTTGGACATGAAGTCCTTGCCCACGCCTATGTCCTGAATGGTAACGCCTAGGTTTTCTTCTAGGGTTTTTATGGTGTTAGGTCTAACGTTTAAATCTTTAATCCATCTTGAATTGATTTTCGTATAAGGTGTAAGGAAGGGATCCAGTTTCAGCTTTCTACATATGGCTAGCCAGTTTTCCCAGCACCATTTATTAAATAGGGAATCCTTTCCCCATTGCTTGTTTTTCTCAGGTTTGTCAAAGATCAGATAGTTGTAGGTATGCGGCATTATTTCTGAGGGCTCTGTTCTGTTCCATTGATCTATATCTCTGTTTTGGTACCAGTACCATGCTGTTTTGGTTACTGTAGCCTTGTAGTATAGTTTGAAGTCAGGTAGTGTGATGCCTCCAGCTTTGTTCTTTTGGCTTAGGATTGACTTGGTGATGCGGGCTCTTTTTTGGTTCCATATGAACTTTAAAGTAGTTTTTTCCAATTCTGTGAAGAAAGTCTTTGGTAGCTTGATGGGGATGGCATTGAATCTGTAAATTACCTTGGGCAGTATGGCCATTTTCACGATATTGATTCTTCCTACCCATGAGCATGGAATGTTCTTCCATTTGTTTGTATCCTCTTTTATTTCCTTGAGCAGTGGTTTGTAGTTCTCCTTGAAGAGGTCCTTCACATCCCTTGTAAGTTGGATTCCTAGGTATTTTATTCTCTTTGAAGCAATTGTGAATGGGAGTTCACTCATGATTTGGCTCTCTGTTTGTCTGTTATTGGTGTATAAGAATGCTTGTGATTTTTGTACATTGATTTTGTATCCTGAGACTTTGCTGAAGTTGCTTATCAGCTTAAGGAGATTTTGGGCTGAGACGATGGCGTTTTCTAGGTAAACAATCATGTCATCTGCAAACAGGGACAATTTGACTTCCTCTTTTCCTAATTGAATACCCTTTATTTCCTTCTCCTGCCTGATTGCCCTGGCCAGAACTTCCAACACTATGTTGAATAGGAGCGGTGAGAGAGGGCATCCCTGTCTTGTGCCAGTTTTCAAAGGGAATGCTTCCAGTTTTTGCCCATTCAGTATGATATTGGCTGTGGGTTTGTCATAGATAGCTCTTATTATTTTGAAATACGTCCCATCAATACCTAATTTATTGAGAGTTTTTAGCATGAAGGGTTGTTGAATTTTGTCAAAGGCTTTTTCTGCATCTATTGAGATAATCATGTGGTTTTTGTCTTTGGCTCTGTTTATATGCTGGATTACATTTATTGATTTGCATATATTGAACCAGCCTTGCATCCCAGGGATGAAGCCCACTTGATCATGGTGGATAAGCTTTTTGATGTGCTGCTGGATTCGGTTTGCCAGTATTTTATTGAGGATTTTTGCATCAATGTTCATCAAGGATATTGGTCTAAAATTCTCTTTTTTGGTTGTGTCTCTGCCCGGCTTTGGTATCAGGATGATGCTGGCCTCATAAAATGAGTTAGGGAGGATTCCCTCTTTTTCTATTGATTGGAATAGTTTCAGAAGGAATGGTACCAGTTCCTCCTTGTACCTCTGGTAGAATTCGGCTGTGAATCCATCTGGTCCTGGACTCTTTTTGGTTGGTAAACTATTGATTATTGCCACAATTTCAGCTCCTGTTATTGGTCTATTCAGAGATTCAACTTCTTCCTGGTTTAGTCTTGGGAGAGTGTATGTGTCAAGCAATGTATCCATTTCTTCTAGATTTTCTAGTTTATTTGCATAGAGGTGTTTGTAGTATTCTCTGATGGTAGTTTGTATTTCTGTGGGATCGGTGGTGATATCCCCTTTATCATTTTTTATTGTGTCTATTTGATTCTCCTCTCTTTTTTTCTTTATTAGTCTTGCTAGCGGTCTATCAATTTTGTTGATCCTTTCAAAAAACCAGCTCCTGGATTCATTGATTTTTTGAAGGGTTTTTTGTGTCTCTATTTCCTTCAGTTCTGCTCTGATTTTAGTTATTTCTTGCCTTCTGCTAGCTTTTGAATGTGTTTGCTCTTGCTTTTCTAGTTCTTTTAATTGTGATGTTAGGGTGTCAATTTTGGATCTTTCCTGCTTTCTCTTGTGGGCATTTAGTGCTATAAATTTCCCTCTACACACTGCTTTGAATGCGTCCCAGAGATTCTGGTATGTTGTGTCTTTGTTCTCGTTGGTTTCAAAGAACATCTTTATTTCTGCCTTCATTTCGTTATGTACCCAGTAGTCATTCAGGAGCAGGTTGTTCAGTTTCCATGTAGTTGAGCGGCTTTGAGTGAGATTCTTAATCCTGAGTTCTAGTTTGATTGCACTGTGGTCTGAGAGATAGTTTGTTATAATTTCTGTTCTTTTACATTTGCTGAGGAGAGCTTTACTTCCAACTATGTGGTCAGTTTTGGAATAGTTTCATCGTTGGTTAAAGTAAAAATTAATGAAGTCTTTTTGGAAAGTATTTGGGAAGTATGTTTTATACTTTAAATATATTTAAATATATTTGCAACTGTAATAGTAAAGATTGAAAACTGTAATAGATTGCCTTATTTCCTATCACATAAATATTGGTCCAATAAGTATGTGTGAATTGGAAAAACAGTTTTATGTATCCATATGGAGATATTGAGTCAATATTGGTAGTGCTATTTTCTTTATGAAAAATGCACCTGTGTATATTTTCCTTTATATGCATGGGCAGGTACTTCTTTTTGCCTATCTAACATACATTTACTCCTTCTTTACTAACAGAACACTAATAACATTAAAAGGGGGAATATTTCCAGCTAAAAGACATTTCTCACCTTTGCCTGCTGCCAATGTGGCCATGAAATTTAATTCTGGTAAAAAATGTGCGAGGAGAATTTTTGGAAAGGACATTCAGGAGCCTCTTTAAAAGGAAAACAGATAATTAGTGAAACCTCTTTGATTTTTTCTTCTCCAATCATTTTGTCTTTAATGTACACATAATGACTGGGGCACCAGCAGTCATCATAGACCATAGGGTGACCTTGAAAACAGAAAAAATGTGATTGGGTAGTGGTGCAAAAAAATTCTGAGTTCCTTGTGACTGTACAGCTGCCATAACTACTCTGAACAATATACCTGTGGATGTAATTTACAAGATGGAGTAATAAACTTTTATCATGTTTAAACCATACATATTTGAGGTTTTTCTGGTATGTGAAATCAAACTATGAAGCAAACTGCAAAAATTGCCCTCCAAATTATTGGTGGTAGTTTCCTATGGGAGTAGGAATGAGATTAGAGAGTGGTGATAAGAAAGATGGTCATATTTTGCCTTTGATACAAGTGTATTGTTAAAATACTTTACAAAAAACATTTATCCACGCATTAGTTTTATAATAAAAAATAATAATGAAATAAAAGAGCAAGGTATTGCAAGTCACTGAAAAAGATTACCCAAACATTTTGTGGATATGGTCATGTACCACATAATGACATTTCAGTGAATGATGGACTGCATAAATGGTTGTGGTCCCATTAGGATTATAAGGAGCTGAACCTTTTCCATTGTCGAGTGACCTAGCCATGGTAACTGATAAAGTTTGGCTGTGTCTCCACCCAAATTGCATCTTGAATTATAGCTCCCATAATTCCCACATGTTGTGGGAGGGACCTGGTGGAAGATAATTGAATCATGGGGGCTGTTTCCCCCATACTGTTCTTGGGGTATTGAATAAGTCTCATGAGATCTGATGGTTTTATAAGGGGTAAGACGTGCCTTTTGTCTTCCACCATGATTGTGAGGACTCCCCAGCCATGTGAAACTGTGAGTCCATTAAACTTCTTTTTCTTTATAAATTACCCAGTCTTTGGTATATCTTTATTAGCAGCATGAAAATGGATTAATACAGTAACATCACAGTGCAAAGTGTTACCTTTTCTATATTAGATATGTGTAGATACAAAAAAATTGTCTTTGTGTTACAATTGCCTACAATATTCAGAACAGTAATATGCTGTACAGGTTTGTAGCCTGGGAGCAATAGGCTGTACCATATAGCATAGGTGCTTGATAGGCTGTACCATCTAAGTTTGTGTAAGTACATTCTGTCATGTTTACAAAAATGACAAAATCACCTAACAATGTACAATGTATTCCTCAGAATGTATCCCCATCATTAAGTAATGTATGACATATATTGTAGATAGGATTTAACATTTAATTTTAAGGTAAGGAAAGTTCAAATAAATTGTGAAAATTTTTATCTCAAAGCATGAGGTAACAGATGATGGTGGAGGCATTCAGCACTCACATTCTCCACAAAGAAAAACCAAAATAGCAAGTATATAATCACACTATGAATAGATCATCTAATGGATAACACTAGAATTCAGCATAGAAGTGACAAGAAATGCCTGAGGCACGAAAGGAGAGGGAAGCAAGATATCCAGCCCATTCTAGATTGACTGGAGACCTGGAGAGGTTTCCTAGTGCAGTGAAAGAGTAAGTGAGAGATCCCCAGAGGTCCACATTCTCACCATGGACTCCTGTAATCCTAGCTTTGAGAAAGCTTCTAGACCCTCATGGGCCTTGAGACTAGTATCAGGAGCTGCCCGGAGTCCATACAATAGTACTGTTCCAGAAAGGGTGCCCATGCTGCATCCCACACACCCAATGAAACCCAAGAAACTGAAGCATGACACCATTTTGAGAGCCCAGCCCAATTAGACTGCAATCTGTTTTGATGCCCAATAGCCATGATACCTCCCCAATCCTGGAGCTCCATTGATATTGCCCTACATCTACCTGAGGGCTGCAGTGGTACAAAACTGATTGGACCTAGTAGTGTTGTGGAGTCCTCACTACTCTAGCCCACTCAGTGTCCTATATCCCAGGGAATGGAGAGTGTGGTGTATCAGGGAAGCTGCACCCCCACCCCCCGCCCCCCGCCCGACCCGGGGCAAAAAGAGCCAAAAGGAGCCAAAGCATGCACTCCTCAGAGCCTGAAAGCCACTTGCCTGGAACTGCTGCCACTGAGAGCAACTCTACTCTCATCAACAGTAGAGCCACTGCATACTTGCACACACCCTGAGGACAGGCTTTCCCTTCCTATTGCTGCTGCCAACATAAAGTGTGAGGTCCTTAGAGCCTGAGAACTGCCTGACTGAAACTGCTGCCACTGACAACAACTTTGCCCCAACTTTGGCCCAATCAGCAGCAGTAACAAACCTGCACATGCCCTGAGGACAGATGTTCCCCACTTGCTGCCATAACTCCTGACCGTGGGACTGAGGCTCTTGCTTCCCAGAGCCTGAGAGCCACTTGGTTGGGCCACTCCTACTTATAGCAGCCCTGCCTCCACCACCAGCAGCAAGGCTGCTGCACATGTGCATGCATCCTGAAAACAGATTTCCCTTCCCACCACTGCTGCTGCTGCCCCAACCCAAGCAACAAAACCTTGGGGCCTGGGGATATACCTGCCCTGGTCACCATATCTTTCTCCTGTGGGCATGACCAGGAAGTCCTGAGAACAGGCCCATTCAGCCTGGCACCATATCCAGTGCCAAAACATGCCATGCCAGGGCCTGAGAATTGCCCTGCTCCATTCACCATTGCTGGCATCTGTACATTTCTCCCAGGTGCCTGAGGATGGGCCCACCCTACCTGTTGCCTCCAAAATAACAAGCATCCACCCACACATGCCACCTGGAAGCTTGGGTACTGGTCCGTGCAGCCCATTGCAGGCACCAATAACACAAGTATGTGATACCTGGTAGCCTGATGGTTGCCCACCACTGCAAATGCCATCTTCATGCTACACATGCTACCCAGGGCCCAGAAGACTTGCCCACCCAGCCAGCCTACTGTTGTCACTGGCATCACCTGGGCAAGCTTCCTGGAGGTCCAATAATTGGTGTGACTAGACCCACTATTACTGGTGTCCATGTATGCCATCTAGGGGCACAAAAACTGGCACAATTAGCCTGCTGCTGCCACGATTGGGGCCCAAGGACTGATGCCCCTGGTGACCCATCCACAGCAAAGCCTCACCACACCCTCCACTAACCACTCCAGCCTAAATCAACAAGAAAGTGGCAGACATCACTGATGCTCTTTTATATCTGAAGAATTCATGTGGATACTACACCACTGAATGTATGCAGAATCAAAGCTAAAGTACCTTACTCAACGAACACCATAGATACATTTTCAAAAAAAAAGTCTTTCCCTATGTAAGCCATTTCAAATAACTAGAAATAACTTTTACAACAGATGAACAGATATCACAGTAGGAAAACAAAACAAAACAAAAAAAATGAAAAAAAAAGAAATGACACCTCCAAATGAACACAATAATTCTCCAGCAACAGAATCTAATGAAAAAAGTATGAAATTAAAAAAGAATTCAAAATAATAATATTACAGAAGCTGCATGAAATACAAGTAAACACAGATAACACACATAAATCAGTAAAAAAAAAATTTAAGATATGAATGAGAAATTCACCAAAGAGATATATATCATGAAAAAGAATGCAACATAAATCCTAGAACTGAAGAGTTAAATGAATGAAATAAAAACACATATGTAATTGAGAGCTTGAAAACAATAGACTGTATCAAGCAGAAAAAATAATTTCAGAACTTGAAGACAGGCCTTTAGAAATAGCTCATTCAAACATGAAAGAAAAAGGATACAGAGAATTAAAAAAGCCTACTTGACCTATGGGACAAATAAAGCAATGAAATTTTCAAATTTTGGCTATTTCAGAAGTTGAAGAGAAGGTCAAGGGCATGGAAAATCTATTTAATGAAATTATAGATGAGAACTTCCAATGTCTAGCAAAAGATTTAGACATCAAGATAAAGGAAGCTTAGAGATCCTCAAATAGATACAAGCCAAAAAGGTCTTCTCCAAGGTGCATTATAGCTAAACTGCCGGAAGTCAAAGACAAGGAGATAATTGTAAAATCACCAAGAGAAAAGCATCTAGTCACTTATAAGGAAACCTTCGTAAGAACAACAGCAGATTTCTCAGTAGAAACCTTACAGACCAGAAGCAAATGGGATGACATATTAAAAGTGCTGGAAAAAAGAAAAACAGTCAATCAAAGATACTATACCCCGCAAAGTTATGCTTCATAAAAGGAGACACAAGCTATTTCTCAGGCAAGCAAAAGCTGATGAAATTCATGACCACTAGACCACCCATACAAGAATTACTTAAGGAAGTTTTAAACCTGGAAGAAAAATGACAGGTATCTACAAAAATGAAAATACATGGAAGTATAATACTCACTGGTAGAACAAACACTCAAACGAAAAAGAGAAAAGATTCGAATGTTAATACTAATGAAAACTACCAAATCAAAATGACAAACAATAAAAGAGAAAGCATATACAAAACAATGATACACAAAACAACTAAAAAACAATGAACAAAATGAAAGGAGTAAGTCCTCATATATCAATAATAGTCTTTAATGTAAACAGATTAATATTTCCACTCAAAAAATACAGACGGCCTGAAAGGTACAAAATGGCCTAATATATATTGTCCACAAGAAACATATAAACTGAAAGGAAAGAAATAGAAAAAGATATTCCACACAAATGCAAATTAAAGTAAGCATTAATAGCTATAGTTACGTGAGTTAAACAGACTTTAAGTCAAAACCAGTAAAAAGAGACAAAGAAGGTTGTCATAAAATAAAGGGATCATTTCACCAAGAGAATATAACAATACTAAATATATAAACACCCAACACTGGAGCACCCAGATATATAAAACAAATATTAGATCTAAAGGGAGAGAGAGTTTCCAATACAATAAGAGTTGGAGATTTTAACACCCCATTCTCAGCACTAGACAGATCATCTAGACAGAAAGTCAGCAAAGAAACATTGGATTTAAACTTCACTTTATAACAAATGGACCTGACAGACATTTACCCAACAGCTGCAGAACACACATTGTTCTCATCAGTACATAGAACATTCTTCAGAATAAACCATATGTTAGACCAAAAACCAAGTCTTTACAATTTTTTTTTAAATCACAATTGTATATATTTTTTTCTCAGACCACAAGGGAATAAAACTAAAAATAAATAGCAAGAGGAACTTTGGAAACTGCACAAATATGTAGAAATTAAACAGCATGCTCCTGAATGACCATTGGGTCAACGAAGAAATTAAGAAGAAATTTAAAAATGTCTTGAAACAAATGAAAATGAAAAGGCAATATAGCAAACATTTTTGATACAGCGAAAGCAGTACTGAGGGTGAGATTTATAACTATAAATTCTTTCATTGAAAAAGTAGAAATATTTCAAATAAACAACCTATTGATTCACTTAAAGGAACTAGAAAAGCAAGAACAAATCAAACTAAAAGTTAGTAAAATGAAAGAAATAATAAAAATCAAAGGAGAATTAAATAAAATAGATACTAAAATTACAAAGAACCAAAAAAAAAGACAAAATTGATTCACCACTAGCTAGACAAATCAAGAAAAAAAGAGGGAAGAGTCAAAGAAATTTAGAAATGAAATGAGATATTATAACCGATACCATAAGAAATAAAGAAATACAAGAGATCGGCCAGGCGCTATGGCTCACGCCTGTAATCCCAACACTTTGGGAGGTCGAGGCGGGCGGATCAAGAGGACAGGAGATTGAAACCATCCTGGGTAATACGGTGAAACCCCGTCTCTACTAAAAACACAAAAAATTGGCCAGGCATGGTGGCGGGTGCCTACAGGCACCCTCCCAAGTAGTCCCAGCTACTTGGGAGGGTGAGGCAGGAGAATGGCGTGAACCCAGGAAGCGGAGCTTGCAGTGAACCGAAATCACGCCACTGCACTCCAGACTGGGTGACAAAGCGAGACTCTGTCTCAAAAAAAAAAAAAAAAAAAAAAGAATGAAAGAAATGCAAAAGATCATTAGAGGCTACTATGAACATGCTAACAAACTGGAAAACCTAGAGGCAATGGATGAGTTCCTGGACACATAAAACCTACCAAGATTGAATCATGAAGAAATAGAAAACCTAAACAGTCTAATAATGAGTAATGAGACTGACTCGGTAATAAAAAGTCTCTCACCAAAAAAGTGCCTGGGACCAGATGGCGTCACTGCTAAGTTCTACCAAAGTGTAATGAAGTAACAGTATTTCTCCTCAAACTAATCCACATTATTAAAGAGAAGAGAATTCTCCCTGACTCATTCTATGAGGCCAGCATTACCCTGATACTGAAACCACATGGGGACAAAACAATAAAGAAAACTACAGAACAAAATCCCTCATGATCATAGATGCAAAATTCCTCATCAAAATACTACTAAACTGAATCCAACAGCTCATCCAAAAGATAATACACAATGGTCAAGTGGGATTTATCTCAAGGGTGCCTGGATGATTGAACATAAGCAAATCAATGTGATGTGTCACATGAACCCAATTAGGGACAAAAATGATATCATCACAATTGACACAGAAAAAGCATTTGATAAAACTCAACATTCCATCATGATAATAACTCTTAAAATTTAAAAAATACATGAACATAATAAAGGTCATATATGACAAAGCCACAGCTTACATTATAGTGAATTAGTAAAAGTTATATCCATTCTGCTAAAAACTGTAAGAAGACAAGAATGCCTACTTTTCCCACTCCTATTTAATGCATTATTGGAAGTCCTAATCAAACCAATCAGGCAAGAGAAATATGTGAAAGGCATCCAAATTGGAAAATAGAAAATGAAATTGTGCCCTTTGTAGATGACATGAACTTATATTTGGAAAAAAAAAAAAACTAAAGAATCCACCAAAGAATTCTTAGATATGTCCGCAAAATACAAAATCAATACTAAAAAATCAGTAGCATTTCTATATGTCGATAATGAAGTAGCTGAACAACAACAACAAAAGAGGCAATCCCATTTTCAATAAGTAAAAATAAATAAAATGCATAGGAATAAATTTAATCAAGAAAGTAAAATACCTCCATATTTAGCCAAGGAAATAAACAACCTCTACAGGGAAAACTACAAAACTGATGAGAGAAATTGAAGAGGACACAAACAAATGGAAAGACATCACATGCTCATGGGTCATAAGAATTAATATTGTTAACATGATCATACTACCCAAAGCAACCTGTAGATACAATGTAATCTCTATCAAAATACCAATGATGTTTGTCACAGAAATAAAAAAATCTCTAAAATTTATATAGAACCAAAAAAGAGCCTGAATATCAAAAGTGATGCTGAGTAAAAAGAACAAAGATGGAGGCATCACATTACCTAACTTCAAAATATACTTCAAGGCTATAGTAACCAAACAGTATGGTATTGGTATAAAAACAGACACATAGACCAATGAAACAGAATACAGAACCCCAAAATAAATTCAAATATTTATAGCCAGCTGAGTGTCTACAAAGGCAGAAAGAAAAAATATTGAAAAAAGGACATCCTCCTCAATAAATGATGCAGGGAAAACTGGGTACCTATAGATCCTATCTCTCATTATATACAGATAACTCAACAGGAATGAAATACTTAAATATAAGGCCTGATACATTAAGAGTACTAGAGGAAAATACACTAGAAACAGTCCAGGACATTGGTTTAGGCAGAAATGTGATGGCTGAAACCTCAAAAGCACAGGCAAAAACCCCAAAGGTAAACATATTACGCTATTTACATAGTGTAGTATAGAACTATATTAGACTTAAAAGCTTCTGCACAGCAAAACAAACAATCAACAGAGAGAAGAGACAACCTGATGAATGGGAGAATATATTTTCTAACTATTTATCTGACAAGGGACTAATATCCAGAATATACAAATAACTTAACAGTAAGAAAGCCCAAATAATTCTATTAAAAATGAACAAATGACATGGATAGACATTTCTCAAAAGAAGACATACAAATAGCAAACAGGTATGTGAAAAAATGCTCAACATCACTAATTATTAGGAAAATACAAATCAAAACCACAATGAGATATTGTCTTAACCCAGTTAAAATGGCTATAATCACAAAGACAAAAAAATACAAGTTGCTGGCAAGAATGCAGAGAAAATAAAACTCTTATACACTGTTGGTGGACGTGTAAAGTGGCACAGACATAATGAAAAACAGTATGGAAATTTCTCAATTAACTAAAAAGAGAACTACTATCTGATTCAGCAATTCCACTTCTGGGTATTAAAAAAAATTAGTATATTAAGACATACCTGCACCCTCATGTTTATTGCAGCTGTATTCCCAATTTCAAAAATATGGAATCAACCTAAGTGTCCATCAATAGATGAATGGATAAAGAAAAAGTAATATATATATATAGACACCACACATAGAAACCCTAAAAATTCTAGAAGATAACATTAGAAAAACTTTTCCAGGCATTGGCTTAGGCAAATAATTCCTGACTAAGACCCCAGAAACAAATGCAAGAGAAACAAAAATAAATAAATTGTACCTGATTAAACTAAAAAGCTTCTGCACAGCAAAAGAGATAATCAGTAGAGTAAACAGACAACCCACTGACTGGGAGAAAATATTCACAAACTATGCATACAACGAAGGACTAATATCAAGAATCTACAAGGAATTTAAACAAATCAGCAAGAAAAAATGATAATAATCCCATTATTAATACGGGCAAAGCACATTAATAGAAAATTCTCCAAAGAAGATATACAAACAGCCAACAAACATATGAAAAAATGCTTAACATCACTAATTATAAGGGAAATGTATATTAAAGCCACAGTGAGATGCCACATTACTCCTGCAAGAATGACCATAATTAAAAAGTCAAAAAAAATATAGATGTTGGCTTGCATGTGGTGAAATTGGAACACTTTGACACTGCTGATGGGAATGTAAATTAGTACAACTGTGGGAAATAGTATGGAGATTCCTTGAAGAACTAAAAGTAGAAATGCCATTTCATCCAGCAATCCCACTACTGGGCATCTATCCAGAAAAAAAGAAAAGGAGTTATTATATGAAAAAGATGCATGCACAGGCATGTTTATAACAGCACAGTTTGCAATTGCAAGGATATGGAACCAACCTATGTGCCCATCAACCAAAGTGTTTAAAGAAAATGTCTTATATACACACCATGGAATACTACTCAGTCACAAAAAAAGAATTAAATAATATCTTTTGCAGCAACTAAAATGGACCTGGAAGCCATTATTCTAAGTGAACTCAGGAATTGAAAACCAAATATTGTATGTTCTCGCTTATAAATGGGAGCTAAGCTATGAGAATGCAAAGGCATAAGAATTATATAATGGACTTTGGGGGTTCGGTGGGGGAAGCTTGGGAGGGGCATGAGAAATAAAAGACTACATATTGGGTACAGTGCACACTGCTCGGATGACAGGTGTGACAGGTTCACTAAAATCTCAGAAATCACCACTAAGGAGCTTATCCATTTAACCAAAAGCCACCTGTACCCTAAAAATTATTGAAATAAAAATAAATATTAAGAAATTTTAAAAAAACAGCCTTTAGAAAGAAACCAAAAAAGTTTAGTAATGGCAGATGCAGAACAGCCCTTAGTTTAGGTCTAGGTTATTCTCACTATCAGGGTTAATATCTTTCTTGAGGATTCTGTCTGAAGTACAGTATATTAGGAGATTTTCTCCATTCTAGTTGGAAAAAACACAATTATTCTCCAACCGGTGTGAGTCCCAGAGATTTTTTTCACCTTCTCCTTTGCAGTGGCTATTTCCTGTATTCTGGTACTTTTTCTCACCCTTTTGAGCCAGGACTCAGATTCAAAGAAACCCCAGTATACATTTCTGGAGCTTTATTTATGTATATCTATAATTTCTCAGGCTTTTGGGGAAGAATTTTAGCCATATTTGCCTCCCTGAACTGTGAATTTTGGCTCTTCAAAGGAGTCATAACCTTGGTCTCTGTGCACTCCACATTGCAGATGTTCTTCATACATAAGCTGAGGCAATAAAAGGGCTCATCTTATTTTTTTCTGTTCTATAAAAGATTGCTGTTTTTGCTGTTTGTTATTCCGTGTTTATGATTATTGTTTAATATATATTGCCCTGTTTTCTAGTTTTTTAAGGTAGATGAATAAAACTCTGTCCTGGCTCTAAGGGTAAGTATATACTGAATACAAATTTATATTTTGAACAGAAAAAAACCACAATTGGCTGAATAAGTAGTTTACTTTTTATCTCTTTTAACCTATCAGTTACTATACCCATCCAAAACTTGACAAGTAAATCTGTAAAAAAAAAAAAAATAGTGTCTTAGAAGGCAAAACTGTGGTTAATTTTATATCTGTAATGGTGTCTTTGTCATGTTGTTATTTTAGAAACTTCATAAAGATGCATTATTTCATCCAGAAGGTAAATAAAGGGACAAGAAATTGTGTTAAAAGATATCTCAAAATCCTTTAGGTGTTTAATCCTTTTATGAAGATTTCTATGTGATAAAATTCCTAGTTTATCTTTAAAAAACATAATACAATATTATTAAAGAAATGTGCCTTATACAGTTTATCTTTAATATTTTGGAATAGTTAGCATTCTAGTGACATCATGTCTTCTAACTTTCTGTTCTATTAAGACTCAAAACTGTAAGCAATAAAATGACAACATATACAATCGTTAATTTCTACAATTTATTAAAAAATATAGGTCATGTTACTTTAAGGACAATGAATACTTTTTTCTGAATTTCATTAAATATACAAATAATTGTGCAACAGGATGGGGTCAGTATTCATATTTTCTATGCTAATTTTTCATGTTCTGTAATAATTTTTTTTCTTTGTAATGCAAAATCTTCTTTGTAAGTGGAATTTACTATTGTTTACATTACAGATTCTGGTTAAAGACTTAACTCATAATTGCTTGAAAAGTGAATTATACTGAAATGAGTGTAGAATAACAACAATCTAAATTGAAATAATGATTTTTGCTTTTACTTGTAGAAAATGAATAAGCCAAAAAAACCGAACGCATTTAGATGGTTCTTAAACTTTTTTTTTTTGAGACAGATTCTCACTCTGTCGCCCAGGCTGGAGTGCAGTGGTGCAATCTCGGCTCACTGCAACCTCCGCCTCTTGGGTTAAAGCTATTCTTGTGCCTCAGTCTCCCGAGCAGCTAGGACTACAGGCGCATGCCACCATGCCCAGCTAATTTTTGTATTTTTAGTAGAGACAGGGTTTCACCATGCTGTCCATGCTGGTCTTGAACTTCTGACCTTACCGCCTGCCTCTGCTTCCCAAAGTGCTGGGATTACAGGCATGAGCGACCACACCTGGCCAACTTTTTCATGCATCAAAATCTCCTGGAGGGTTTATTAAAGCACAGATTGCTGGAACCCACACTCAGAGTGTTTGATTTAATAGGTGTAGAGCCTAAGAACTTGCATCTGTAACAAGTTTCAAGGTAATGCTGATGCTGCTGGTCTTAAGACCACAAATTTATAACCACTTTTTTTGGACTATACTGGCTTTAAGTAAATATAACCCCTTACCTTTAGCCATATACAAAAATTAATTTAAAATGCATGAAAAAACAAAATTTAAGATCAAAATTTAAAATCTTAAGGATAAATTTTCATAAACTTTTATTTATTTAGTTTTTTCCAACTTTTATTTTAGGTTCAAGGGATACATATGCAAGTTTGTTACGTGAATAAATAGCCATTTGCAGCGGTTTGGTATGCAGATAATTTTGTCAACCAGGTAATCAGCATAAGACCCAATAGGTAATTTTTCAATTGTCATCCTCTTTCTATCCTCTACCTTTGTACAGGCCCCAGTGTCTATTGTTCCCTTCTTTACATCCGTATATGCTCAGTGTTTATCTCTCACTAATAAGTGAGAATATGCAATATTTGGTTTTCTGTTCCTGTGTTGATTTATTTAGAACCATGGCCTCCAGTGCCAATGAGACGGTATCTCATTGTGGTTTTGATTTGCATTTCCCTGATTGGTGATATTGAGCATTTTTTCATATACTCATTGGCTGTGTGCATCTCTTCTTTTGAGAAGTGTTTTTTCATGTCCTTTGCATAGAAAAACTTAATAAACAAGAAGAGAAAATGAACCCCAAAGATAGCAGAAGAAGAAAAGAAATAACCAATATCAGAGCTGAACTGAATGAAATGGACATGAGAAAAACCATACAGATAAATCAAAACCAAAAGTTTATTTTTTAAGGAATAATTTTGGTAAACCATTAGCTAAAACAATATAGAAAATAGAGAGAAAATCCAAGTAACAATAATCAGAAATGACAAAGTTATCCCACATAAACAAACAAAAAACTCAGAAAAGATTATGAACACCTCTATGCACACAAACTAGAAAATCTAGAATAAATGGATGCTTTCTAGAAATCACACAACCTACTGAGATTGAACCAGGAAGAAATTGAATACCTGAACAGACCAAAAATGAGTTTTGAAATTGAATCAGGAATAAAAAATTTACCAACCAGAGGAAGTCCTGGACTACACAGATTCACAGCCAAATTCTACCAGATATGTAAAGAAGAACTGTTACAAATTCCACTGAAACTATCCAAAAAGTTAAGCAGGAGGGACTCCTCCATAACTCATTCTATGAGTCGAGCACCATCCTGATAACAAAGAACTGTCAAACACATAACAAAAAAGAAAATTTCAGGCCAATATCCTTGATGAACATCGATGCAAAAATCCTCAACAAAATACAGGCAAACTGAATCCAGCAGCACATCAAAAAGCTTATCCACCATGATGAAGTAGGCTTTATTCCTGGGATGAAAGTTTCTTTCAACATACACAAATCAATAAATGTGATCCATCACAAAAACAGAACTAAAAATAAAAATCACATGATCACCTCAATAGTTTCAGAAAAGGCTTTCCATAAAATTCATCATCCCTTCATGTTAGAAATCCTCAATAACCTAAGCATTGAAGATACATACTTCAAAATAGTAAGAGCCCTCTATCACAGACACACAGCCCACATCATACTGAATGGGCAAATGATGTAAGAATTCCCCTTGACAACTGGAACAAGACAGGGATGCTCACTCTCACCACTACTACTCAACATAGTACTGGAAGTCTTAGGCAGAGCAATCAGGCAAGAGAAAGAAACAGAAGGCATCCAAATAGGAAGAGAGGAAGTAAAACTCTCTTTCTTCATAGGCAATATGCTACTCTATCTAGAAAACTCTATAGTGCCTGCCGAAAGGCTCCTAGATCTAATAAGCAACTTCAGCAAAGTTTCAGGACACAAAATGAATTTACAAAACTCATTACCGTTTCCACATACCAACAACATCCAAGCTGAGTCAAATCTTTAATGCAATCTTATTCACAGTAGCCACAAAAGAATAAAATACCTAAGAATAAAGCTAGAAACATCTGATCTACAAAAAACTGACTAAAACTAGCAAGGGGAAAAGGACTCCCTATTCAATAAATGCTGATGGCTTAACTGGCTAGCCATATGCAGAAGATTGAACCTGGATCCCTATCTTTCACCATTTACAAAAATCGACTCAAGATGGATTAAAGACTTAAATGTAAAACCTAAAACTATGAAGACCCTAGAAGAAAATGTAGGAAATACCATTCTGAACATCAGCCAAGGCAAAAACTTCATGACAAAGACTTCAAAAGTAATTGCAACAAAAATGAAATTTGACAAATAAGACCTAATTAAATGTAAGAGGTTCTGCACAGCAAAATAAACTATCAACAGAGTAAACAGACAATATACAGAATGGGAGAAAATATTTGCAAACTATGCACCTGACAAAGGTCTAACATGCAGAATCTTTAATCATCTTTGAAATGACAATAATTTATTGAATATGACACCTAAAGCACAAGCAACAAAAGAGAAATATAGGTATAATGGATTTCACCAAAATTTAAAAATTTTAAAAATTCTTTTAAAATAATGTTCAAATAATTGATGGCTAAAAACCTTGCAAATTTGATAAAATATGTTAATCTACACATGCAAAATTTTAACTAACTCCATGCAGAATAACCTATAAAAGATCCACATTATAGTCATATTGCATTAAGACAAAAACTAAAAGAGAATCTTGAAAGTAGCAAGAGAAAAGTGACTGACTAGGTACAACGAATCCTCAATGAAATCAACAGTTGATTTCTCATCAGAAACCATGAAGGACAGGAAGTAGTAGGATGACATATTTCAAGTGTTGAAAGGAAGAAAAAAAATGTCCTCCAATAATTCAGTATCTGGGAAAACTATACTTCAAGACTAAAGGAGAAATTAAGACATTCCTAGATAAACAAAAGTTAAGAGAGTTTGAAACTATTAGTCCTGCCCTACAAGAAATGCTAAAGGGAGTCCTTCAGGTAGAAAAGAAAAAAAAACTAGACAAAAATTTTAAAAAAAGAGTAAAGGTAAATATGTAGGACAATATAAAAGCCAGTAAGATTGTACTTTTAGTTTGTAAGTTCTCTTTTTCCCTATATAACTTAAAAGTGAAATGCATGAAATAATAACATAAATCTACGTTAATAGGTACATAATGTATAAAGACATAATCCGTGATAATATAAAGAAGCAGGGCTGTATCTTCATAGGAGCAGAGTATTTGTATACAAAGTTGGTATTATTGAAACTAGGTAGTTATAAGTTTAGTACGTTAATTGTCATTATCAAGCTAATAATTAAGAAAGTAACAAAAACATACAGAAAAGAGAAAAAAGAGAATCAAAGTATTACAATACAAAATACCAACCAAATACTTAAAAAAGCACTAATAGAAGAATTGAGGAACATGAATATATAAAAACTACAAAAAACAAATAGCAAAGTATCAGAAGTAAGTATCTCTTTATCTGTAATTATTTGAATAAAATAGATTATACTGTCCAATTAAAAGAAATTGGCAAAATTAATAAAAAACATGATTAGTTTGTATTCTGTTTACAAGAACACCTTGTCTCATTAGTAATAAAGAAAAAAGATAGAAAGTAAAAAATATAGAAAAAGATATTCATGCCAATAGTAAATAAAAGACATTTTAAGTAAAAAATATTAAAAGTAAATAGGAGATTCCATATTAATAAATGTTAAATCCATATAAAAGATATTACAATTGTAAACATATATACACCTAACAAGAAATTTCCAGAAATATGTGACGCAAACATTGGCAGAATAGAAGAGAGATATAGACAGTTCTAGAGTATTACTAACAGACCAATATCTCATATTTAATAATGAGTAGACAATGAGAGAAAAGATTAATAAGGAAATAGAGAATTTGAACCACAGTATAAACCACCTAAACCTAGCCTAGCAGACATATTTAGGACAATCTACCCCAAAACAGCAAAAAACACAGTCTTCTCCAAAATGCACGGAACGTTCTCCAAAAAGACTGTGTGTTATAGCACAGAACAAGTTTTAATAAATTTTAAAAGACTGAAATTTTACAAAGCATGATTTCTGATCGGAGTTGGATGAAAATGAAATACGATGTACAGGATTCGGTTAATAATATTGAATTATATATTGAAATTTGGTAAGAGATTAGATTTTAGGTGGTCTTACCACAAAAAATGTAACTATGGAAGGCAATGGATATGTTAACTTGACTATGCTAATCATTTCACTATGCACATGTATATCAAAACATTATGCTATGAACCTTAAATATGTGTTAAAAATAAATTAAATAAACATTAATAAAAACACCAATGGCATTTTAATGGGAAATTGCTGCTATTTACATTTTTTTAATTTTAATTTTAATTTTAGAATCAGAGGTTACATGTGCAGGTTTGTTACAAGGATATATTGTGTGATGGTGTGGTTTAGGCTGCTCTAGATCTAGTCACCCAGACAGTGAACATAGTCCCCAATAGGAAGTTTTTCAGGCTTTGTTCCCCTCCCTCCTTTTGTAATCCCCAGAGTCTATTGTTACTATCTTTATGTCTATGTGAACCCAGAGTTTATCTCCCAGTTATAAGTGAAAACGTGCAATATTTGTTTTTCTGTTTTTGTGTTAATTTGCTTAGAATAATGGCCTCCAGCTGCATTCATGTTGCTGCAAAGGACATGATTTTTTTCTTTTTTATGACTGTGTACTATTCCATGGTGTATATGTACCACATTTTCGTTATCCAATTTATCACTGATGGGCACCTAGTTTGATTTCATGTCTTTGCTATTGTGAATAGTGCTGTGGTAAACATACAAGTCCATGTGCCTTTTTCATAGAACAATTTATTTTCCTTTGGGTATATGGTCAGTCATTGGATTGCTGAGTTGAATTACCATTTCTATTTTCAGTTCTTTGAGAAATCTACAAACAGCTTTCCATAGGGGATGAAATAATTTACATTCCCACCAACAGTGTATAAGGATTTCCTTGACAACCTCACCAACAACTGTTATATTTTGACTTTTTAAGGATAGCTATTCTGACTAATGTGAGACGGTATTTGATTTTGGTTTTGATTTGAATTTCTCTGATGGTTAGCTATGTTAAGTATTTTTTCCTATGTTTGTTGGCTGCTTACATGTTGTCTTTTGAGAAGTGTCCGTTTTTGTCCTTTGTCCACTTTTTAATGGGAGTATTTGTTTTTTTTTCTTTATGATTTGTCTAAGTTCTTTATAAATTCTGGATGTTAGTCCTTTGTTGGGTGCATAGTTTGTGAATATTTTCTCCCATTCTGTAGGTTGTCTGTTTACTCTGTGGATAGTTTCTTTTGCTGTGCAGAAGCTCTTTAGTCTAGTTAGGTCTTACTTGTCAATGTTTGTTTTGGTTGCAATTACTTTTGAGGAGTTAGTCATAAATTCTTTGCCTGGGCCAATATTGGGAAGAGCATGTTCTATGTTTTCTTCTAGGATTTTTATAATCTGATGTCTTATAAATTTAAGTCTTTAATCCATCTTGAGTTAATTTTATATATGGTAAAAGGTAGAGGTCCAGTTTCATTCTTCTGCAATGTTATTTTTCACAGAACTAGAAAAGACTATTTCAAACCTCATGTGGAACCAAAAAAGAATCCAAATAGCCTAAGCAATCCTAACCAAAAAGAACAAAGCTGGAGGAACTGCATTACCTGACTTCAAACTATACTACATGGTTACAGTAACTAAACCAGAATTGTAATGCCACAGAAATAGGCACATAGACCAGTGGAATGGAATAGAAAGCCCCCAAATAAAACTGCATACCTACAGCCAATAGATCTCAGACAAAGTCAACAAAAATGAGCAACGGGGAAAGAACTCACTATTCAATAAACGATGCTGAGAAAACTGGCTAACCAAAGTCATTTTTTGAAGAAATTAACAAGCTGATTTTATAAGGGTTCTCCAAAGAAACAGAACCAATAAGAGGTTCATCTGTGTATCTGGAGAGACACAGAGAGATAAAGAAAGAGATAGATTTTTAAGAAATTGGTTCATGCAATTGTGAAGTCTGGCAAGTCCAAAATTTGTGGGATGTGGCAGTAGGCTGAAAACACAGGAAAGAATTGATTCTGTAGTTCGAGTCTGAAGATAGTCTGCTGGAAGATTCCATCTTCTTTCAACGAGTTCAATCTTTTTCTGTTAAGGCTTTTAACTGATTGGATGATGCCTATTTACATTATGGAAGGCAATCTGCTTTACTCAAAGTCTTCTGATTTAAATGTTAATCTCATCTTTAAAATACATTTAAAAATAAGATGATATCTCATTGTGGTTTTGAATTGTGTTTCTCTAATGATCAGTGATGTTGAGCAAAAAGCAAAAGATGCTGGAGAGGCTGTACAGAAACAGGGACACTTTTACACTGTTGGTAGGAATGTAAATTAGTTCAACCATTGTGAAAGACGGTGTGGCAATTCCTCAAAGACCTAGAACCAGAAATATCATTTGACCCAGCAATCCCATTACTGGGAATATACCCAAAGGAATATAAATAATTCTATTATAAAGATACATGCATGAGTATGTTCATTGCAGCACTATTCACAATAGCAAAGACCATGGAATCAACCCAAATGCCCGTCAATGATAGACTGGATAAAGAAAATGTGGTACATATACACCATGGAATACTATGCAGCCATAAAAAGGAATAAGATCATGTCCCTTGCTGAGACATAGATGGAGCTGGAAGCCAATATCCTCAGCAAACTAACACAGGAACGGAAAACCAAACACCACATGTTCTGACTTATAAGTGGGGGCTGAACAATGAGAACACCATCAACAAAGGAAGGGGAACAACACACACTGGGGCCTGTCAGGGGAGGCAGGGGAGGGAGATCATCAGGATAAATAGCTAATGCATGCAGGGCCTATTACCTAGGTGATGGGCTGATAGGTGCAGCAAATCACCATGGCACATGTTTACCTACGTAACAAACCTGCACATCCTGCACATGTATCCTGGAACTTAAAATTAAATTAAATTAAATTTTTAAAAATACCTTTAAAATGTCTAGAATAATGTTTGATTAAATACGTGATTACTGCTGTTTACCCAAGATGACACACAAAATTAACTATTGCACTAACTTAGAATTTATATGAAAATTCAGGGGACACAGAATAGCCAAAATAATACTGAATATGAGTCACAAAGTTGGAATACTCACATTTCCATATTTCAAAATGTACTACAAAGCTACAGTAATCAAAACAGTTTTGAGCTGGTATAATGATAGCCTTATGGACCAATGGAATAAAATTGAGAACCTAAAGGTAAATTATTATATTCATTATCAATTGATTTTTGGCAAGAGTACCAAAACCATTCAATAGGGCAAAGAAAAATGTCTTCCATGAATGTTGCTGAGAAAACTATATTCACATTTTCAAAAAGTAAATTTAGACCCTTAGCCTAGATACAAAATTAACTGAAAATATATCAAAACTCCATATTTAAGAACCAAAGAGATAAACTCTTATAGGCAAATCTTCAAAACCTTTGAACTGACAATAGTTTATTAAATATGACACCAAAAGCATAGGTAATAACAAAAATAGATATATTGTACTCCATCAAAATTAGCAACTTTTGTGCATTGAAAGATACTACTCAAAAGAGTAGAAAGATAACCCACATACTGTGAAAAAATATTTACAAATGTTTGCAAAATATTTATAAATCAGATATCTGATAATTGTTTAATAATTAAATTATGTTTTAAATCACAAGTCAACCACAAAAAGGCAAGCAACCTAATCAAAAAGTGCCCAAACGAGTTAAATAGACATTTCTATAAAGAATATGGAAGTAAGCACATGCAAAGTTATTCAGCATCATTAATCATTAAGGAAATAAAGGCATATCACTTTTCATTGTGCTTCACTTCATTGATCTTTACGGATATTGTGACTTTTACAAATTGAAAGTTTGTGGCGACCCTGAACAATTTGATCAGCATCGTTTTTCCAACAGCATGTGTTCGCTTTGTGTCTCTGTGTCACATTTTGGTAATTTTCACATTTTGAATTTTATTATCATAATTTTATCTATTCTGGTGATGTGTAGTCAGCGATCTTTGATGTAACTATTGTAATTGTTTCAGGGAATCATGATCTATGCCCATAAAAGTTTGTGAACTTAATAAATGTTCTGTGTGTTCTGATTGGTCCACCAACCAACCATTCTTCCATCTCTCTCCCTCAGACCTGCCTATTTCCTGAGACACAGCAATATTGAAATTAGGCCATTTAAGAACGCTAAAATGGTTTCTAAGTTTTCAAGTAAAGGGGAGAGGCACACATTTCTTACTTTATATCAAAAGCTAGAAATGATTAAGCTTTGTGAGGAAGGCATGTCAAAAGTTGACAGGCTGAAAGCTAAGCCTCTTGCAACAGTTAGCCAAATTATGAATGCAAAGAAAAGGTTCCTAGTGGAAACTAAAAATGCTACCTAGTGAATGATAAGAAAGTGAAGTAGCATTATTGCTGATATGGAGAAAGTTTTAGTGGTCTAGCTAAAAGATCAAATCAGCCACTTAAGTTTTCCTTAAGTCAAAACCTAATCCAGAGCAAGACCTTATCTCTTTTCACTTCTATTAAGCCAGATAGACGTGAGAAACCTTCAGAAGAAAAATCTGGAGCTAGCAAAGATTAGTTAATATGATTTAAGGATAGATTCCATCTCCACAACATAAAAATGCAAGGTAAAGCAGCAAGTGTTAATGTAGAAGCTGCAGGAAGTTCTCCAGAAGTTCTAGATGAAATAATTAACAAAAGTGTCTACACTAATCAATAAGTTTTCAATATAGACAAAGCAAGTGATGCCACCTAGGGCTTTCATAGAGAGGAGGAGTCAATGGCTGGCTTCAAAGTTTCAAAGGATAGTCTTACTCCCTTGTTAGGGGCTAATGTAGCTGATGATGTTAAGTTGAAGCCAGTGCTCATGTGCTATTCCAAAAATTCTAGGTCCTTTAAGAAGTATGCCTATGTTTTATCAATGGAACACCAAAGCATGGATGACAGCACATCTACTTACAGCATCGTTTCCTAAATATTTTAAGCCCACTGTTGAGACCCACTGCTCAGAAAAACAAAGATTTCTTTTAAAATATTACTGCTTAATGACAAAACACCTAGTTACCTAAGAATTCTGATGGAGGTGCACAGGAGATTAAGTTGTAGTCACACCTGCTAACACAACATACATTCTGCAGCCCATGGATTAAGAAGTAATTTTGTCTTTCAAGTCTTATCAAGAAATACATTTCATAAGGCTGTAGCTGCCAGAGATAGTGATTTTTCTGATGGATCTGAGCAAAGTTAGCTGAAAAAAATTCTGAAAAGGATTCACAATTTTATATGGGATTAAGAACATTTGTAATGCATGGGAGGAAGTCAAAATATTAATATTAATAGGAATTTTGAAGAAGTTGATTCCAACTCTTATGAATGACTTTCAGGGGTTCAAGATTTCAGTGGAAAAAAGTAACAGCAGATGTGGTGGAAATACCAAGAGAACTAGAATTAGAACCAGAGCCTGAAAATGTGATTGAATTGCTGCACTCTCCTCATAAAACTCTAAGAAACAAGGATTTGCTTCCTATGGATAAGCAAAGAAAGTGGTTTCTTAAGATAGAACATACTCCTGGAGAAGAGTCTATGAACATTGTCGAAATGATTACAGAGGATTTAGAATATTCCATAAACTTAGTTGATAAAGCAGCAGCAGGATTTGAGAGGATTGACTCCAATTTTGAAGCAAGTTCCACTGTGGATAAAATTCTAACAAACAATGTCTCATGCTACAGAGAAATATTTTGTTAAAGGAAGAGTTAATCAATGCAGAAAACTTTATCGTCTTATTTTTAAAAATTGCTACAAACACCTCAACCTTCAGTAACCACCACCCTGAGCAGTAAGCAGCCATCAATATCTAAGCAAGACCTTCCACCAGCAAAAAGATCATGACTTGCTGAAAGCTCAGATAATTGTTAGCATATTTTAGCAATAAAGTGCTTTTAAATTAAGGTATACATTTTTTAGACATAAGGTTTCTGCACATTTAATAAACTATAGATTCATGTAAACATAACTTTTATATACACTGGGAAACCAAATATTTTGTATGACTTACTTTATTGTGATATTGACTTTATTGCAGTGGTCCAGAACTGAACCCACAATATTTCTAAGATATGTCTGTACAAATCAAAATCTCAAAAATACCGTTTCACACCTACTAGCATGGCTATAACCAAACAAATTGAAAATGCCAAGTTTTGTAGGAAATATAGAGAAATTGAAACTCACAAGCACTGGAGATAGGAATGTAAAATGCTAGAGTTTCTGTGGAAAAGAGTTTGGTAGTTCCTCAAAAATTAAACGTAGAATTAATATATGACCCAGAAATTCCACTGCTAACATGTACCCCAAAACTTGAAAACAGGAGTTCAAAGAGATAAGTAGGCAAAACATTCATAACAGCATTTTTCACAACATCCAAAAGGTAGAAACAACCCATGTGTCCATCAACAGATGAATGGATAAACTAAAGTTTTATATCTATAGAACAGAACACTATTTAGCCTAGAAAAGGAATGAAGTTCTGATACAGGCTGCAACATCAGTGCACCTTGAAAAAACATTATGCTAAATGAAATGAAGTAGATATTACAGGAAAAATAGTGTATTATTTTACTTATATGGAATATCTAGAATAGGAAAATTCAGTGATACACAATACAGATTACACGTTACCAGGGGATAGGGAGAAAGGGAACAGGAAATTGTTGCTTAATGCTTACTGAGTTTCTGTTTGGAGTAATAAAAACATCTTGTAAACAGATAGTGATGATGCTTGCACAACATTTTGAATATTCCAAAAACCACTGAATTGTGCACTAAAAATGGTTGAAGTGGTGAATTTTATGTTACATATATGTAATCACAAAAATAAGACCGAATAGATTACAGGATATTAAGGACGTCTGAAAAACCTGTATTAAACATTATGTAGCAAAATATAATGTCTTAAATAATGTAGCAGAACTTTCTCCTTGTAGATACCATTTGACACCACCGTTAGTCCTAAACACTGTAAATTCCATAGGTAACATCACTGATACTAGATATTGGGCATATTACTGAAACAGCTGCCTGTGGAAATGATATAGCTACTGCCACTACTACTTTCAGTTAATCAGGCTTGATGCTATCAAATCCTCATTTCCTAGTATAATTACCTTAATTTACTTAATTTTGTAGTATAATTACACTTAATTTTAAGACACATACTTTTCATATTTTAATAGCTATGAAATCATAACATATTACAATCAATAGCATAGTTTAATTGGAAGCATTTTTAAAATTTTCTTAATGGAACAAATAGTACTGGTGTGCCTTTTAGTGGATGTTGTCTTATATTAGGTGAAATAAGTAACTTATAAGTGGCTATAAAATGGACAAGTCTACTTGCTAGAGCCTGGGTCACATGACTGCACCTTCACTGAAAGTTGAGTAAAAGATGTTTTCATCTTTTATTGTGGAGAGTGAGTAGTGCCTTAAGGTGATAAATTCCTCAGCCATGGAAAATGGGTTCAAAATAATGATCTGTTTTATCTTTAGGAACTGATTTCAAAATATTTGAAAATATTGGGGAAGCCAAAGTAACAGTATATGAAGGTTATATTCAGCCTATGTGACATTGGCTTATGATTTCTAGTTTATACTTTCCATAAAAATCTCTGATAAAAATGTTCATGAGAAAAGAACCAAGGACATTCTGGGTAATGTATTCTGGGTAACAATATTCTGGGTAAAATATTTCAGTAATTACAATTTCACCTCTTTTATTGTTTTGGAAATCAATATTTTCTTATTGTTGTTTATAGAACTATCACAAAAAAACTGTCGAATGTGTTGCTGAAATCCAGATATAAATGTGGTTGTCTTTTTTCGTAGTTCCATGACTTGATAAGTAAATGAGCTTGTTTATATGATATGTGTTTTGTGGCATAGGTACTTGATGAATTCATACTAATTACAAACATGGAAACTGTGTAGTATAGGGGCTATGCATAAAAACGGTGGAATCATAAGGATTTGGGTTCAATCCACATTCCGCTGTCTACTAACTGTGCGATATTGAGAAAATTATCTAACCTTTTGGAACCTCTATTCCCTTAACATTGTAATCTAGAAAATAATAGAACCTACTCTATATGGTGTTTGTGAAGATTAAATGAGGTAATGTATGTCTAGAATCAAGGCTCAATAATATTAGCTATTGTGTTTAGTGATCATATCTTTAGTTGTATGTTCAATAATACTGACAAAAAGGATATCAAGTTCAATGGTCTGTGGTTTTCACAACAGAAATATAATTTAATGGTTTTTACGGATGAATTTTCCTTTATTGAAACACATTGAGTTGAGGAATAGGGAAATAATTATCAGGTAAGCTTATACGGCACATGATTATGATTAAGTTCCACTAATTTATATTTCTGCATTATGCTTTCTGTTAATTACAGAACATTATATTCATGCAGCAGTAGTAGGAAGCACTGATTTTTTAATGTCCTTCTCTTGATAAAGCAATTTAACATCAGGAAGGTTTAGTTGTGTCCTTTTCTGTCATTTGATTATATGATACTCTAATGTTAAGAAATCAAGTCGAGGTCTAGGAAATTTAGACAGATTACTTTTGATGTACAAAACATATGTGTATATATATATCTCTCCAGTAATTGTACCTGGATTTCAGCTATTTTTGTGTTGAAATTTCCCATTATTCATGGTTTTTCCCAAGCACAAAATCCTGAGCCATGGAATACCAGGTAATGGTACAATATAGTTGCACAGTTTGATTTCCACACTGTTCAGGAATCCAGAGATTTATCTGAATTTTTTTCTCTCCTATAGTATTACTAAGTATTTCATCAGATATTTTAGGCATAATAGCTGTAGTCTGGGGAGTCTCAGTGTGTCCAAATCCTTATAGTGACCCATGGATTAAAGTGACATAAAACAGGCAGTGGAAATTGCATCTCCATGATGATGATAATAAGCTTGTATGCTCATTCTGATTGTGATCCTCGGGAAACAAATTTTTCCTATGATGTCTCCTGACTGTCCATCCAACATGCCTTACTTGTTCAAAAATACTAATATCTGAAACATCCCACATGGCAAGGAAGGAATCAGAGCATGAGCCGTGTTCTGTTTCTTGGAGATATGGTTAATGAGAAAGTGTAGTGATGGGCAATAGCAACAAGGAAACTCTCAATGCAGATATAAAGTCCTGGAGTCCTAGAACCACAGCTTCTACAGTTTGCCATTTCCATACATGCTTTTCACAAATAATGCCAAATTTTACCATCAAAGCAATAATTACTACTTGCCAAAGAGAAACAAAAAATACCAGCATTACACAAAGAAATCTGCCAACATGTTGGATTAGGCTCAGTTCTTCCTTTAGTTTTTTGTAAAATAGCAGAAGACACTACATGGCAAACAATTGTGACATGTTGTTTATCATAACCAAATAAGTCTAAGTATATGAAAAGCTAATCATATATAGCAAGCAGTTCACAGATTAAAACAATGATGGTGGTGAATGGTCTGACAACTGTATACTGCAATATACCTAGTTTGCCTAAACAGCAATACTTCTACCGTAGTCTATGGTAGACAGCAACATAGAGGAGGAAAATGTTTCTGCTGATATTTGGTTTCAGTAATTAGTACCAGATTTGGATAATGGTTAGTTAGATAATGGGTAAGGAATCTCATAAAGTTGTAAATGACATAAGCTTTATAGAATTCTCTGCAGGTATGCACATATATTGCAATGCTGGAGTATCCAATTATCTAAATTGTAAATGGGTACCATCCAAAGAATCCTTATGATTGGTTTTTGTAGTTTAGGTTGCATATAATGCACTAACTGTAGCAATATAACCCATAACGATATAGATATTGTCAACAGCAAAAACAATTGCAGCAATAAACTAAGCCTTTGGTGTGCATTTGAATCTCCAGTTTCTGTAATCCCCATATGCATAAGGCAACCACAACCACTATGGACACCAGGTAGATGACCACCGCTAAAGTTCGAACCCACTGTCTCCAGTTCCTCCAGGTACAAGTGCAAAGCATGTTTTCGTACAAATCAGCTCCGAGTGGCAAGGGAAAAAAGCCTGAAGGAGATTGTAACGGGAACCTTGTCCTTTCTTTTGTCAACTCATGTACTATGGAGAAAGAGCTGTTGCCCAATTTTACCAACAGCTTAAGCCACCTCCTTGGCCAGAACTGTGTTTGTGCTGCTGCTACTGCTGCAACTGAGGCCACTCAGGGTGCCACCCTGCACACTCCACTTCTGCCCCACAGCTACCTGCCGGCTGGCTATTTTCTTTGGGGACTGAGATTCCTCCCTCCGGTGTCTCTTCACCCAATTCTGCTGGTAGATAAGGCCTCAGGATTTCCTCACTCATTCACATGGAACATCCCCTGTGATGGAGTGCAAGGACCAACCAGGACTTTGAATTTAATGTTTTTATTAATGAATGCATTAGATTACAACTTGGAAGAAATCCTGTATTAGTATCTCAACTGTCCTAAGAAGTGAGTTCTACAAGTTTCCATGAATGAACTTAATGCTGAATCCCAAGGATACTTTACATATATTCATCATAGATGACTGCCTACATTATGGGTTTTGAGAGGTTCTGAAGTGCCTACCTACCTCCAAATATCTCTCACATCAGACTGCTGTAAAAGCTAAAATCGATATGTTAGGACCACTGCTTTAGATAGCATATCTTTAGAAGGTCTAATATTAGTACTCAATTTTTATCAGGTAAATACATTCAGAGTACAGGATTGAAAAGAAAATTGGGAAGAAAACTTATTTTAGAAAGTTTGGAAGCAAATGATGTTGACCCTAAGGTGAAACAAGTCATCCTCTGCATGAGAATGGGGCACTGGGTTACCAAGTAGCTGAAAAGCTTCTTAGTCTCTAAGGGTAAAAGTAAGCTACAAAATATCAAAGAAAAGCTTGTGTAGTTTAATGATCAGGGATGACAAATAGCATAAGAAAATTACTAGAGGGAAGTGGGTGGGTAAAAAGAAACTTTATTTGCTTCATACTGGCCATGCCTACCCCTACTCATCACCCCAGTCTTTTGGGTATAAAGACAATTACACTTGAATTTGCTTAAGAGGAAAACAATCAGTAGCACTATGTAGCTGTGCTATTTAAAAAAATCTTCTCTCAGAGTATGGAATAAAATAATTGGAAGAAGCAGCAATCTATATGAGCAAGCATCCTCTACAGGAGATAACACAGGAATAGACTTGGGGAGGAGTTTCCCAAGACTAGAGGAAGAATCATGAAGAGTTCACATGAGATGTCTTTCTTCTGAAGTGCTCAAAAGACTGTGTGAATGCAAAATACCTTGGAGGATGGCTGTCATGGTGTCCTCAGGGTCTTCATCATGAGGTGAATAAATTTTTTCTGGTTTTGCCTTGTATTGAATTCCTTACTAGAATAGATGGTCAGGTACCCAGGCTCCTGTGTATTGCTAAGGTGCCTCTATACATAAATAATACAAATTGTATATGAATGCCAAAGTGCATGATTTAATTATATCTTTAATGTCTCATCATGCACTTGAAGTTCATATCATTTTATTGGTTTTCTTTCCAGTTTTTCCCTTGTGTTAAAGACAAAGTCTAATAATGGAAAATAATTAAATTTCCTTCAGTTGAGAATGTCAATGTGGTTGGTATTCAGAATATCAATGGGTTTTCTAAAAGGAAGAAATTAAGCATAGAACTTTTAATAAGACAAACATTACTATATATTAAATCTGGATTAAAATTTAGATGCTACTCCTTAGCTCTTAATGGTACTTAACATGGCAATTTTTCTATAGCATCAAGTAATGTGATTGGAGGCAAGGTGTGATAAATATAAAATCTTTTAGCCAATTGAAAGATATAACAACATGGTGATATTTTTAGTTTCAATTTTTATGATCGCATATGTGTGCCTGTGATTGTAGGTGTGTGATGTAAATCATCCTTGCTACATTACCTGCCTCAAAATTATTAGGTTGCCTTCCTTAACTCTTACTCGTAGTAGAGGTAATTCTGCTATAGGGCAGATTACCAATACAGCACTCCATCAACTAGCACTGTTTGCTATATCCATGGAGATATGTCATTACCTAAAAATCTCCAAAATGCCATTAGCTAAAAAAGTCCAAGATATGGATATGAAAGAAGATTAGCCAAATTTTAAAATATGTTTTCAGACACCTCCATCCGGGAAGTTGGTCCTGTTATTATTATAATAACTGGGGCAAATATATCTATGCTTTCAGGAACTAGTGTGTAATATTTAGTTCCCATGATGAATTATGGCCTTTACCTGAACCCTCTTCTTTCCCTTCCTACAAAATATGATAGGATTAAAAAACACCATATCTATTATTTTATACTGAGGAGCATTTCTTAGGTATGCTAACCAAATGATGGAATTCTTTGCTTACAGAGTAAGATCTTTCTGGCAGACTCTAATAGTGGTGAAATAAAACAAATTGCATCAACCTATTCAGTTTAGTATAGTAATACATATATTTTCATTTTAATCCATTTATATAAATATTGGTTTAGTATAGGAGTAGATATATTTTCATCTTAATCCATTTATATAAAACTGGCAAACTTATGTAGGTAGACATTTATTGAGTACATAATCTGTGCCAGACACTGTTCTAGATCATATATTGGAATCATTAACCTGAATATGTTTAATAGAACATTCTATTATTAATAATGTCAGAGAAAAGAGGGAATACTGTATATAATTTTGACTCTAACAGTGAGTATATAGAACATGTAAATTTATGTATATTAAATTATTTTATGTTTAAGATCCCCAAACACTTCTTTATTGCCAAAGTCAATGAGTAATTTTCAGTCTAATCTGCTTGAGCACTGTGATGTATACTTGTTATGGTATCATTTACTGGCTCCTCTCTTCAAGAAAAAAACTGCCCAGATGACTTATAGAACTGTGAGCTAAGTAAATGCTTGTTGTCATAAGCCACTAAGTCTGGGGCTTATATGTCATACAACAGCAGTTAATTTCAAGTTTGGGGCTATCCCTTGTGAATAAAACTGGTATAGACATTCTTGTATGATATGGTTTGACTCTGTGTCCCCACCTGAATTTCATGTCAAATTGTAATTCCCAACGTTGGGGGAGGGATCTAGTGGGAGGTGATCGATCATGGGGGCAGAATTCCCCCTTTCTCTTCTCATGAGACTGAGGGAGTTATCATGACATCTGTTTTTTTAAAAGTATGTAATACTTCCTCCTTTAATCTCTCTCTACTGCCACCATGTGAGGATGTGCTTGCTTCTACTTTGCCTTCCACCATGATTGTAAGTTTCCTGAGGCCCCACAACCATGGCCCCTGTACAGTATGAGTACTGTGAGTCAATTAAACATCTTTTATTTATAAACTATCCAGTCTCAGGTAGTTCTTTACAGCAGTTTGAGAACTGACTAATACAGAGAATCAGTACTGACAGAGTGGGGTACTGCCATAAAGACACCTGAAGGTGTGGAAGTGACTTTGGAACTTAGTAAAGGGCAGTAGTTGGAACAGTTTGGAGGGACTAGAAGAAGACAGGAAGATGAGGGAAAGTTTGGAACTTCCTAGAGACTTGTTGAATGGCTGTGACCAAAATGCTGATAGTGATATGAACAGTGAAGTCCAGGCTAAGGTGGTCTCAGATGGAGATGAGGAACTTATTGGGAACTGGAGTAAAGGTCAATCTTGCTATGCTTTAACAAAGAGACTGGTGGCATTGTGTCCCTGCTCTAGAGATCTGTGGCATTTTGAACTTGAGATAAATGATTTAGGGTATCCAGTGGAAGAAATTTCTAAGCAACAAAGCATTCAAGATGTGGCCTGGCTGCTTCTAAAATCCTATGCTCATTTGCTTAAACAAATTACCTGAAACTAGAATTTATATTTAAAAGAGAAGTAGAGCATAAAATTTTAGAAAATTTGCGGTCCTACTATGCAGTAGAAAAGAAAAACCCATTTTCTGAGGAGGAATTCAAGGCTGCAGAAATTTGCATAAGTAAATAAGAGCTGAATGTTATTAGCCATGGCAATGGATATAATGACTCCAGGGTATTTCAGAGAACTTTGCTGCAACCTTCCCATCACAGGCCTAGAGGTTAGGAGAAAAAAAATGGTTTTGTGGGTCGGGGCCTTGCTTCTCTGTGCAGCCTTGAGACATGGTGCCCTGTGTCCTAGCTGCTTCAGCTTCAGCCATGGCTATAAGGGGTCAAGGTAAACTTCAGGCCATTGCTTCAGAGGGTGAAAACACCAAGCCTTGGTGGCTGTCACTCAGTGTTGGGCCTGCAGGTGTGCAGAAGGCAAAAATAGAGGTTTGGGAACCTCTGCCTAGAATTCAGAGGATGTATGGAAATGCCTGATTGTCCAGGCAGAAATCTGCTGCAGGGGCAGAGCCCTCATGTAGAACCTCTGCTAGGGCAGTGCAGAGGGAAAATGGGGGTTGAGAGCTTCCACACAGAGTCCCCACTAGGGCACGGCCTAGTGGAGCTGTGGGAAGAGGTCCACTGTCCCCCAGGCCCCAGAATGGTAGATTCACTGATAGCTTGCACCGTGCATCTAGAGAAGCCATGGGCACTCAACGCCAGCCCTTAAAGGCAGCCATGAGGGCTGTACCTAAAGAACTACAGGGCTGTAGCTGCCCAGGGCCTTGGGAACCCACCCTTTGCATCAGTGTGGCCTGGATGTGTGACATGGAGTCAAAGGATATTATTTGTAGTTTTATGACTGCCCTGCTAGGTTTAGAGGTTTATTTTGCTATGGTTAAGGACCATGACCCATGACACAGCCTCAGGAGTTCCTGAGAACATGTGCCAAAGGTGATGGGTTACACCTTGGTTTTATACATGCTAGGGAGACAGAAGTTGCAGGCAAAGACATAAATAATATATGTAAGGTATACATATATTATACCTTAAAGTAAATAAATTATATAAATTATACATTGGTTCAGCCCAGAAAGTTGGGGCATCTTGAAGTGGTGGCTTCCAGGTCATAGGCGGATGTAAAGATTTTCTGATTCTCAATTCCCCCTGAAGAGCTGAATTCAGCATAAAGAAATGCTTGAGTTTAGATAAGGAAGTTGTGGAAGTCAAGGTTTTTATCATGTACATGAAGCCTCCATGTAGCAGACTCTAGGAAGAAAAGATGGTGAATGGCCCTTATCAGACCTTAAAAGATATCAGAGTCTCTGGGAAAGACCTAGCAAGGGAAGAAGATTCTCTACGGAATGCAAATTTTTCCCACAAGGGACAGATTTGCAGGGCCATTTCAGAATATGTCAAAGAAATATATTTGGGGGTAAATATTTTGATTTCCTTCAGGGACTGTTATCTGTCATATGATGCTATACCAGTAAGGTTGAAATTTGGTCATAGAATTATTGCTACAAAGAGTCTGTTTTCTCAGTCTTAAGAGCTCTGTTTTAATGTTAGTGCTGGTCCATTGTGTCTAAACACCAAAGGGAAGAGGGTATGAGTCATATCTGAATCCCCCTTCTCATTATGGCCTGAACTATTTTTTTCAGGTTTTGTTGAGTTCTCCTTGGCCAAGAGGAGTTCCATTCAGGCAGTTGGGGGCTTAGAATTTTATTTTTGGTGTATGTCTGCCATGTAATGAGAATAATAAATAAAAGTTATTAAGTACTTCTTATGTGCCAGACACTAGTATGTGTGGTTACATGAATCCACTTAGCAAATATTCTCAATAATGTGAAAGCAGGTTCATTGTTTTCCTTAATTTTACAGAGGAAACAGGAACAGGGAGTTTCAGTAACTTGCCCAAGATCCTGCAGATAATAATCAGCAAAATCAGGCTTTAAAGCCAGGCAGTCTGATTTCAGAGTCTGTGCTCAAAGCCATTATGGTACGCTGTTCTTGATCATTTGAATTCTGGACTTAAGTATCCCTGAACTGGAATGGTAACTCCACAATGTTATCACTAATTCTGTCACCCTATATGGTTCTGTTTGCACATCGTTAGCAATTGTGTTTCATCTTATGGTCAATAGATGACTGAATTACTTCCAGCATCATGGCAGTGTTCCAAAAAATAATAACAAACAGCAACATAGACAAGCTGACACTTACCTCTATCACAGGAAAAATAAACAGCTTCAATGGCAAAACTTGTCCATGTACCTCAAGCACGAGTAAGGGATTGAGACTTCCCTGGCCCAAGGTTTTGACCTATACTGCCTCCATAGTCTCATCATCAGGAGTCTTTGTCCCATTGTAGAAGATAGCCCTTTGAGGCTCTCTGAGTCCCGTATCAGTAAAAATTTTCAGTGATTGCACTGAAAACCTGGATCTGATTCTATGATCACCAATTAGTCTTCTGATTATGCTTTTGCCTCCCATTAAGGCAGAGAATGTGCTATTCTCTCAGATGTTATGTGGAAATCTATTGAGCAGGAGAGTGAAGCCTGGCTGAAGGCACACATTTTGATTAATTTTACTTGGAAATCTTATAGTAACACAATTTTATTAATCTGTAGCTTATACCATTTTTCTTAATATATTTTAAAACCTCTTCAGCAAGGGAAGGATGCAGGGAGAGAGCGAGTCTGGATCAAAATATTCTGATCTCATTAATTTGGATAAATGAGAGGGGAAAGAAAAGCAAGGAGGTATTACAGCAAAGTGAAATACACAAACAATTTTAAAATAAGTGTATTTTAAAAATTCATGTGATATCCCTAAAGGTGGGTACTATGTTTATTTTTGCTCAATATTGTGTACCCAGTACCTGACATAGTGTCTGATACAATAGATACTCAATAACTAAGTCAAATTAATGAATAAATACAAATATTACTAAGAATAGGCACCAAGCAGACATGCTTAAACTAATATATAATAAACTTATGGTGAATCATTATTAATTTTAGAATTATAAATGCTTAAGCTTTTGAAAACCTTTGCTCTATGTGATTATTAATTACTTAAATAATTAATGTGATCCATAAATAATTCAAAATTAATTAATTTTTTTACCATTTACAAAGAAAATTTATAAGTTAATATCCACACAATCTCTGTATAAATTATCATGAATTTCATTTTAGAAATTTGAGTTTATTGAGGAGTTAGTAGTCTCTTCATAACTTACAGCAAGTAGAAGTAAAAACGTGCCATTTACAACCCTTTTCAATAATAGTCTGTTTACTTTCCTTGACCAAAATAATGTTAATATAATAGTCCCTATCAGAACTACTTATTCCTGATGAAAGCTAGATGAATCAAGCCTGTGCATAGAAAATCATTTGCCTTTAAGCTTCTTGAATGGAAGAGTTTAAGATGGTATCTAGAGAGAGACAGAATATCATATAGAATAACATTCCTGTCTGCCAAAGAAAATTATTCTGAGCAAAACTATCTCTTCCACTGGCTTCTTTTTGTTCTTGAATTTCTTAATATTGGCTGAACTGCAAGTTACACTGTACTGATATGGAGGAAGGTAGGAAGTAGAAGTGTGTGAGATAAAACAACATTTTGGTCAATATGCCAATCAATCACCTTAGTTAGATTATTTGAAAGAAGTTACTTTTTTGTCAGTTGCCAGTGTAGCACAAGTCATTATATCCTGAATAACTCATTCTACTTACTGTGATGACATGTTTTGATTGTTTACTCTGTGCCAGTCACTTTATAAATGCTTTACTGAAATATAACTCTTTCAATCCTTGCAGCAACCTTGTGAAATAAGCAAAGTTTCACCCATTTCACAGATGTCAAAATTCAGGCACAGAACTGTTCAACCATACTTTTCCAAGGCCACTCAATCAGTAAGTAGACAAGCTGAAATTCAAATTTGGGCATCTGCCTACAAGTTTCCTGATCAATGTATCTAAACTGCCTTATGACACAGACTAGGGCCCTGATGAAGTGGGGTGAAGGAAAGGTGATATAAGATGATGACAATATATTCAGGAGAACAAGAGGGCTGTTCAGGTTGTGAGCATATGGGGAAAAAAGGGTAGAGAGATGGTCAACACACTTTATAACTTTGCTAATGACCAACCCTGTTTATTATTATTTGTAAATATTATCATTTGTCAAAGATGTTTTTCACATGTTTATTCTTCGCATTAATTTTCAAAAATTATAATGTCAAATATTCATGAGCTATTAAAACACCACTAAAAAAATGTAGCCTTCTGTTGATACTTAGAAATTTACATCGTTATACATTTGAAGAAATGGTATGCCAGAGGAAAGATACATTCATCAATTAGAATTTGTCACTTTTTTTTTTTTTGAGACAGAGTTTCACTCTGTCACCCAGGCTGGAGTGCAGTGGCAGTATCTCAGCTCACTGCAACCTCCACCTCCCAGGTTCAAGCGATTCTTCTGTCTCAGTCTCCTGAGTAGCTGAGACTACAGGTATAAGCCACCACGCCTGATTAATTTTTGTACTTTTAGTAGAGACGGGGTTTCACCATATTGACCAGGCTGATCTCGAACTCTTGACTTCATGATCCACCTGCCTTGGCCTCCCAAAGTGCTGTGATTACAGGCATGAGCCACCGCACCTGGCCACATTTATTTTTTAAAATATATAAAAATAAAAATGACAATCTAATCTATGTGATAGATTGTTTATCAGGTTTTTTTTTAGGTATAGAAATCAGATTTTACAATAGAAAAACAAGAAACAGATCTTTGGTACACATAATCTGATTAAAACACCAGTAATTTTCTAGGCCCAGAAATAACAAGTAATTTAATATCATACAACTTAATGACACTCAACCACTGACTGTGCAAAACAGTATACCAAGTACAGTGATGTAAATGTGATACTATGTACCTACAAGAAACCTTATAAACAAAGGGAATCGGGTATTTCAAAAATAAAAAATCTTCAGAAAATCTGTCTTATAATCAAGCTCTTGGCTACTCTTTACTTTTAAAATTAAATGTAAATGACCAGATTTAATTATCTTTACACACACACACACACACACACACACGAATTAAGCTCATTTTGCTGAGTACTCACTAACAATATATATTTAAAGGCTTAGCACTTTTTTTTTTTGAGACAGAGTCTTACTCTGTTGCCCAGGCTACAGTACAGTGACGTGATCTCTGCTAATTGCAACCTCCACCTCCTGGATTAAAGCGATTCTCATGCCTCAGCCTCCCAAGTATAAGTATATGGGATTACAGACATGTGCCACCATGCCTAGCTAATTTTTGTATTTTCAGTAAAGGCGAGGTTTCACCATATTGGCCAGACTGGTCTCAAACTCTCGGCTTCAAGTGATCTGCCTGCCTCAGCCTCCCAAAGTGCTGAGATTACAGGTGTCGGCCATTGCACCTGGTGAATGCTTTTGTTTAAAAAACAAAACACTAGTAGTCTATAATAGTAGTCCTCAAGCTATCCATGTAGCAGGACCAAATTTACTATTTCCAATCTGTTGCAAAGTTATGTTTTGTACAATAAAATAAAAAGTAATTAATTTAAAAATTAAAACAGAAAATAATACAGAATAAAATTCAAAATGTTTTATCGTTACTTTCAATACATGTAACATTACTGTGTGATGGTTTTAAATGTTTTTATTCAATTTTTATAGTTACTTGGCTGCCAATTGATAATAGTTGGCAGATCAGCACTGGCTCCCACATCAAACTTTGAGTAAAACTTCTCTAGAGTACTCAGCAGTAGCCCTCAATATAAGTACACCAATTTAAAGAGAGATTCTGTCACAGATAACAGAAGCGAAACTTTTTATTTGCTTAGAATCAAATAGCACTAGCAAAACAGACATGGTAGCAGATTAACACATTATATTGTTTTTTGTTTTTTAAATTACTTTGGTTGACCAAAGCCTTCTGTCTGATTGACAAATAGGGATAGAAATACATTTGACTCACTGGAAGGGAATAGACTTGGGATCCATTGAAATATTTTAATTTTATTCAGAATTGAGACAAGTCCTCTTACATAATTAACCCTGACAATAAAAGAGGAAGTGAAATTTCAATTCATGAAATTACTTTTCTTTTTTTTATAGGTATTAGTCATTGTTCACTATTCAACCATTACAAACACAATGTTAAAAAGTGGAACAAAATTGGAATCATCTGACAATGTTAGCTATGTTCATGACAACTAATGAAGTGATTGATTTTGTGGCTGTATTTTGGTAATGATCTAAGTTGCAAAGTAGAAATTAAAGTGTCAAAAATGAATTTCACATTTATCTGGAAGAATAATAAAATTTGGTCTTTTTTCCCTTTGTATCCATATGTTGAATTATTCTGCATGACATTTCAGGGTCAAATCATCAGTCCATTCTTAATTTCATATCAATTCAGATGATACAAATAATTGAATATAGAGTATCAGAACTGAAATGAAAAACTAAGGCAAATATTATGAGTGATAGTTTAGTTAATATGGAAGAAAATATAAGTGCTAGCTTGGTTTGTGATAGAACACCAAAATGTGAGTTGAAAATTATTCCCAGTAAGAAAAATAGCAATGATTGGTGACAAGAAAGAAATTGGATAGGCTGAATATTTTAATTCCAAATTACAATTAATGTATCAATATAGATTTATTGAATATTCACTATATATGAGGTGCTGTTTTAGTTACTGGGAATATAGCAATAAAGAAGATGATAGTTCTTTTAGAGCTTAAATTAAATGAGGATATTTGTGGAAAGAGCTCCTTCTTGTAAAATATTTTATAGATTTTAAGATATGTATTTTTCACATTTTACTCTCTCAAATCATAATTCATCTTAATAATTTAAGGGATCTTATAAGCTTTTTTACAGGAGGCAGCTGTGAAAAAATTGACATTGTCTCATTACCTCATGATTTGTACATGTGTGAACTTCATCTTAGTCTTTCATGTTGCCCTAAATTTAACAAAATTATGTGCATTGTTTGATGAAAGCCTCATTCATTAACGGAAGGTAATTTGCAAACAGGATAGAGCTTCCCAATGAATTAGGAAGGCAAAAGAGTTTGCCTCAAACCAGAAAGAGATTCCCTTGGACTCAGGTAAAGAAAGAGAAAGAGGTCGGATGGTTAACAAGCCACCTAAAATAGAAGTCTAGAATTCCTTGGTAAATCACCAGGGCTGTTAATTCTTGATACATTTGTAGATATAATGTTAACAGTAAAAATAAACTTGCTGGAAAGCACAGTGACTTAGTCTTTAATCTTGATGGCTGACTGCACAACTTGAGCTCTTCAGCATTTCAGTCAACAAAATATTTAGGGAATATTTTAGGTAGAAACGTGGATTGGTTGCCAACTGAAAATCTTTTGTTTACACTTTCTGGTTAAAATAAAGGCAGTACCAACATTACAACTTGCATATTGCGGCACTATTCACAATAGCAAAGACTTGGAACCAACCCAAATGTCCATCAATGATAGACTGGATTAAGAAAATGTGGCACATATACATCTTAAAATACTATGCAGCCATAAAAAAGGAAGAATTCATGTCCTTTGCAGGGACATGGATGAAGCTGGAAACCATCATTCTCAGCAAACTATCACAAGGACAGAAAACCAAATACCGCATGTTCTCACTCATAGGTGGGAGTTGAACAACGAGAACACATGGACACAGGGCAGGGAACATCACACACCAGGTCCTGTCGGAGGGTGGGGGGTTGGGGGAGGGATAGCATTAGGAGAAATACCTAATGTAAATGACGAGTTGATGGGTGCAACAAACGAACATGGCACATATATACCTATGTAACAAACCTGCACGTTGTGCACATGTACCCTAGAACTTAAAGTATAATAATTTTTAAAAATCCTTGCATAATTAGTATTGCAGTCTTAGAAAAAGTCATGGAGATAATAAAGGAACATCTTACAATGCCACATTAACCACATTCTGGAAGTCGCAGAGAATAGTATTGTGTGATAAAATATGGACTTTAGACTTTGAAAATCTGAAGTCAAACATGACTAAAAAGAGGTCTCCCTGGATATAAAATTAACATAAAAAGTGAATTGTCTTTCTATATACTAGCAATGAATACAAGGAAAAATCAAAATTAAAAATACAGTGCCATTAATAATCACTCAGAGAAAAAATGAAATGTTTAGTTATAAATCTAACAAAACATGTATAAGACATATATATTGAAAACTATAATACTTATGAAATATATCAAAGGTGGTATAGATAAAAATTGACATATAAACCATGTTCATAGATTGCAAGACTCAACTTGGTAAATATATCAATTCTCAATAAATTGATAAACAGGGTTAACATAATGCTGCTGACAACCCAGGAAGATACTCTGTAGTTATGGATAAGATTACTTGGAAAGTCATATGGAGAGAAAAATACGCTAGGATTGATGAAATAATTTTGAAAAGGAAGAATAAAGTGGGAGGAGTCAGTCTGTCTAATTACAAAACTTACTACAAAACTTATTATATAACTATTATTTTTAGAAGGGACAGACACATAGAATGGAACCAAACAGAAGAAAAATAGGACTACATGTATATGGCCATTTGATTTTTGCCATAGGCACAAATGTGATTCAATGGAGGAATGATAAACTTTTTAACAAATGGTGATGAAACACGTGCATACCAATAGGCAAAAATTGACCTTAAACTAAATCTCTCAATTAAAAACTTAACCCAGAATGCATCATTGACTTAAATATAAAACTTCAAAATATAAAACTATTAGAAGTAAACACAGGATAAAATCTTTGGAATATAGGGCTAAGCAAAAAAGTATTTAAACATGACACCAGAAAAAATGACGCATAATTTTTGGAAATGATAAATTGGACTTCATCACAAGTTAAACCTTTTGGTCTGCAGACACCTCTATTAAGAGGAAGAAAAGACAAGCTACAGACTGGGAGAAAGTATTTGCAAACTATCTTTATATTTAAAACTTATAAATACCTCAAGGTACAGTATACATTCAACAATAAAAGCTAGAAATGGACAAAAGACATGAAAAACATTTCACAGAAGAGTATTTACACATGGCACATAAGCGATGAAACACATTAATATCATGAGTCGTTAGAGAAATGCAGATTAATACCACAAGAGATATCACTACACACCTGTTAGACCGCTAAAATAGAAAATAGTGGCAATACCAAATGCTGCTGCTGCTGCAGCTTATGTACCTCTGATACCTGGTTAGTAGGAATATAAAATAGTACAACCACTCCTGAAAATTGTTTTGTCAGTTTTTTAAAAAACTAAACACACATTTACCATATGACCTAACAATTGCCTTCTTGAGCATTTATCCCAGATAAATGAAAACATGTCCACACAGATACCTGTACATGTTTGTTTGTATTTGTATTAGCCTAAACTGGAAAAAAAGTGTTATATAATAGGTAAGTAGTGAGTCAAACTTTGACACAACCATATCATGGAATATTATTCAGCAATAATAAAGAACAAACTATTGGTACTTGCAACAACTTAAATGGATCTCAGGGGCATAATGCTGCATAAATTAAAGCAATTATCAAATGGTTACATGTAGTATGATTTTTTTATTTAAATAATATTATTTATTGAAAGAAATTTATTTACATTCCTCAAAATGGCAAAATTATAGAGATGAAGAACAGATTTGAGGTTTCCAGGATTGTGTTTGGGGAGGGGGAGGTGAATATGGCCAGACAAGCAAGAAGTATTCTTATGGTGATAGAATAGCTCCATGCTTTGATTATGGTGGTTATTACATGACTGTATACATGTAATATACGGAAACAAAACTGTATACACATTGTATCAATGTCAATTTTCTGGATTCAGTAGAGTACTATAGCTGTGCAAGATGTCACCATTTGGTGAGAGCTGAATGAAGATTAAATAGAAACTATCTGTAATAGTTTGGCAACTTTTTGTGAATCTGTAATTATTCAAAATAACAAGTTAATGAAGAAGAGATAAAATGTCTCTAAATGCAAATAAATTTGAGAAATGCCTTACCAAAGAGGAAAGACTTAATTATCATCCTAATATCTGTGTAGAAAATTAGACTTAAAATTCATTGTCATGTGAAGAGGCAATCACAGAGTGTACATGTAGGGGAAAAATGTAGGGGAAAAAGTATTATAAAAGTATTTCAGAGAGTTATTAATTTAAAAAAATATGTCTCTGGATTTTTTGAAGTTTGAGGTATTTGTCAGCTTTAAATTTTTACTTTCATTTTTTCTTGCTGAAAATGTATTCACTTTTGTACCTAATTTTTTATTTATAATTTTGAGCTCAATTTTTGTAAGTTCTTCATTTTGTGGAAGTTTCAGGTCCCACAATAAGTGGATCAGTTTCTGACTGCAGTTGGAATCTCTCAATATCACCCCCACTCCAAAACCCAACCTCACTCCAAGCTAGTAGGTCCTAAGCCCAGTATTTTGTGCAGGGAGTTTTATATTTAAGCTACCTCTTGAATTTCAACAATAGGCTCTCTTCTGTTGACCAGGAGAAAATGTAAGAGGTGAAGTAACACGCTCTAATTCAGTGAATGACTGGAGGTCTGAAAATTGCTAGAAAATAGAGGAAGCCTGGTACTTGATAACAGGTGATATTTTAGGGAGATGGTGTTTTCTGAAAATTCAGGGAGGGAGAGAAGTTTAAAGAGATAAGTATCAACAGAAGAATAGAAGTGGAACATTAGAGAAAGTTAGGCACTGCTTTTTAATATTCTACAGAGATTCAAGGAGACAGGATGATTAGATAGGGAAGGAAAAGAAGATTCCCTTTTTCTTTCCAGCACCCTTCAATACATGTAATTCACAAACATACACACACATTTGCATATAACTTGAAAGTAGCTCTTTTAATTTGTGTAAATTACAACTTCACTTAGTTCGGTTGGTTTGTGTCCCTTTTGAAGAATTTTGGCCCAAAGAAGTCTAAACAATATCAAGAATCTGGTACCTGGAATGTCTGAACACTAACTCCAAATGGTTATTGAAGGCATCAAATCCAAATCATTGTAGGATTGTTATGTGTGTTGTATTTAATACAAATTACTGATGATGACTCACTTTTGTCTCATGTATGACCTATCCTACCTGCAGATATTACTATTCCTTGAGGTGATATAGTAAAGACTCAATAAATCTAAATCTGATTAGTCAAAATTTTTGTGATATAGAAGGTAGGAACTAATGGGTAAAGAACGTTTTTAAAAAATTATTAATGCAACCCTAATGCCTCATTGCAAGATCATAAAAAGAAGAATGAACATAGATTTTATTGGGATAAGAATAAATTCTAAGACTACTTCCAATTTATTTTTACACCTCAGTGTTATTTATATTTATAATCAAGAGGTAGCTTAAATGTAAAATTCTGGCTGGGTGTGGTGGCTCATGCCTGTAATCCCAGAACTTTGGGAGGTCGAGGCAGGTGGATCACCTGAGGTCAGGAGTTCAAGACCAGCCTGGCCAACATGGTGAAACCTTGTCTCTACTAAAAATACAACAATTAGCCGGGCATGGTGGCAGGCACCTGTAATCCCAGCTACTAGGGAGGCTGAGGCAGGAGAATCGCTTGAACCCGGGAGGCGGAGGTTGTGGTGAGCCGATATCACACCACTGCACTCCAGCCTGAGAGACAGAGTGAGACTCCATCTTAAAAAATAAATAAATAAAAATAAAAGTAAATAAATATAATTTCATGGAAAAAGATAGTCCACACTGGGATAGTAGTACATGTCTGTGTTTGATGAAACTATTAGCTATTCTTATTAATTTTCATATCACCATTTTATACATAAGAAAAATGAAGTTCAGAATATTGAAGCGTTTTTCCTAAATAACATTCCTAGTTTTATTAAGTAATTTTTATCAACAACAACAATATGTGTATTATCATCATGTGACAGGAAATGTTCTCTGCTGTTGTCTGACTCAAATAATGGCTCTTTAAATTGTGAGGGCAAATTAAAAAACCTTTCAGATGAATCAGCTTAAAATGTTCTTTGCATTTGTATGTTCTATGTCTATTTGCAACAGAACTAGAAGGGAAATAGTTTGCTTTGTGGACAAAAGACCTACTAGAATTGAGTGGAAGCTTTGTGATTGATACAGAATAAGGGCTAGAACACAGCACACTAGGATGAGTACTAGATTCAGAGTCCAGAGCTTTTGTGTTTAGCTCCATCTCTAACTCTAGCTATGTAATTGGTTTTTGTTCTATTTTGTTTTGTTTTCCTTTTAGATGCTCAATTTTTGATCTGTAAATTGATTGTATTTGAGCAAAATGATCACTGAAGAAGGTCACTTTAATACTACTATTTGATGAGAATAAACCTACCTTGTTGAGTAATCCTAAAGTTAGTACTGTATTATTCTTATAAAATAAGCAGCTGGAATATTTTAATAGTAACAAATGCATGACTGAATTCTCTAGATAGTGCTCTCTGAAAATTTATGGACTTCTGGGACAAGTTTTCTTAGGAATCATGTTCAATAGTAAGTTATGATGCTTATAGAATTTTTAAGAAATATAAAATGTGAAGAGGCAAGATATAAAAGAGAAACAGGAAGAAAGCCAAGGTCATAAAATGATTTGAACATGAAAGCAAAATTATGAGGTCGGCTATGAAGGTCAGTCACCAAGGTAGTAAGGAGTGAGGTAAAGAGCTCTAAAGCTGGAACTATTTAGGCAACTGAGATCCCATTTACCCAAGTGCATTTTCTGAAAGGTGCTATGCTAGCTTGGAAGAGCCAATACAATCTAGGAGTCAGTCATATTGCTCTCTTTGGAGCATTCTCAGCTACAAGACCCAAAGCCCAGCTTTGCTTTCATCATGAGATGCTCCTCAAATAACCAGCCTATGAAATGGTAAGTAATAAAATGTTCAGTCTTGTGCCTCTGGACATTATTACAATAAAAGAGAAGGTGACACTAATGACTATAAATCCCTAAAGAAAATATTTTCAATGGATAATGAAATTATACATTCTCATAGTCTCCCAATTATCCAAAGCTGCATGTGGACATTTTTGGTAGGCATTCTGGTAGCTTCCATTCTTTAAGCATATCTAGCTGTAGGAAATTGTGTTTTATTGTTGTTGTTGCAAACCAATTTTTCAATTTATTTTCAAATTAGGCCATTGGGAAGGTGAGTAAGAATGTTTGGCTAGGATAGATAGATAGCTTCATATTAAAGAACTTACTTTGTGTAATTATTTCTACTTTATTAACCGAGCTTTCAGAAAAAAATACATCATTGTGTATTTTAATAATATTTCTAATTCTCCAAGATAAATTGAAAGAAAATATTATACAAAGATTATAAATAATACATTGTATCAATTAAATTGAACAGGGAAATTGAAGATTTAGAAGATAAAACATTTAAGCATTTAAGGGGTAATGTACGAAAAAAAAACAAAGCATTTTCAGGGTACAGATTACCAAAAACTCATTTTGCTACAGAATACCCTCACCAAAAAAGAGTGAATTACCCTTCAAGACTCTAATGAAGATAATTTTGTCAAGGTCATTAGCTGCTCAATAGTGTTTTATAAGAGCTGTAAAAGAATTGCACCTGGATTCTCTCACAATTGTTTGTATATCAGGAAAAGGGAAATGGTGTGCAGATTGGTTACCAATTATATTAAAATATTAGTTACAGCACTTGCAAATGTTTTTGAGTCATAATAACAGGCAGAAAACAGGTTCAGAGTCATCTGTTATAAATTCTAGTTTCACAACAGGCACAGATGCATCAGTTCATGCCTAATTATACTCTTCCATGTGAGATATAAAATACTTCAGGGTTTCTGTAATAGAGACTCATTAAAACAGTTAAGATATAATTTTAAAACTCTTTCTACCAGGGCTAATGTTAATATAGAAACTAATTGCTCTGATAGGCCTTTGGGACCCATATTTACCAAAGTGCCATTCTTTTTGGCTTACCTAGATTCTGTAGCCACATTTACTTCCTGACAATGAAACTTCTATTGGAAACCCATTTTTTATACTTGAGAATGAATTTGGATAGTTCATAGAAATAAGAATAATTATTTTGGATTACTAGTTTACAGAAAAAAGAGAAAATATGACACTACAAAAATTCTAAAGCTATAAATAGTTAAATTCAATATCACATTCATCATCAAACCCAGCCAATCTGAAGCTCTCACATATTGATATAATTGACTTTAATTTAGTCATCTGTCATTTTTCATTTCATATTCTTCAGTTCAATTAATCAAATACCTATTAGGTGCAAGTTTCTCTGATAGAGTTAAAGTTGAATACGATACAGGCTTTGCCCTCCTCTCATTCATGGGACTGCCAAATAAATGGAAGAGGCAAGTAAGTACTAAGCAACTAATACAAGGCAGACTATCATAAAGATTATAACGTAGTTCAAGTAAAGGGTAACAGGTGAACATGGAGGGAAATGTAGACAGGATGAAGAAAGGCTTCACAGAGGATATTACACTTGAATAGGTCTTTAAGGTGTACATATAACCTCAACATAGGGAATTTGGAAAGAAGAAAAAGAGTTCAACATAAGTAAAACATGGATGCAAAAGACAGAGAGTGTGTATGTCATAGTGTGGTTGAAGTATCAGCATGTACTAGGAAAATATGGCTAGATAAGCTGTTGCCAGACACTAAGAGTCGAGCGGAAAATTTTGGATTTTATTTTGCATACAATAAGAAATAATTGAAAGGTTTTTTTGAGGAGAGTAACAAGTTGGCATTTCCTTTGTTGGCAGTGTAGAGACATAATAAAGAAGAAGAGATTAGAGATGAGAAGACCAGTTAAGTGGCTATTTAAAGAGAGGTTTAAATTAAATGATTGTAAAATAATTAGAAAAAAGCATCTTGGAATTAAGACACACTAATTTCCTTATAGGCTTGAAAATAACCAGGCAATATTATCATGTTCATTTGTGTTCATGCTTTGCATGATATTACAATATGCATGAGGATTAAAATGATCATAATATTACACCACTAAATCTTAGAAAGATCTAAAGTAGGTCATTAGAAACATGTGAGTAACCATCTCCAGTACCTCAGAATTTGACTGTATTTGGAGACAGATCCTTTAAAGAGGCAATTAAGTTAAAATGAGATTATTATGTTGAGTCCTAATCAAATAAGACTGGGTTCTTTCTTATAAGAAGAGGAAATTTGAACATAGGCACACACAGAGGGAAAAAAATTGAAGACACAGACAAAAGACCATCTACAAGTCAAAAAGAAATGCCTGGATCTGATCCTTTTTTCATAGCTCTGAGAAGGCACCAATCCTACCGACACCTTAATCTTGGACTTCTAGCATCCAGAATTGTGAGAAAATAAATTTCTGTTGTTTAAGCAACCTAGTCTCTGCTATTTGGTTACAGCTGACCTAGCAAACTAATAAAAGTTTGCTATGGTTAATCCAGATAAGATGACCTCAATTAACAATTTCTGCATGTCTATAATAATGAAAAATATGGTCAGAAATCTGTGTCAATAACTAGAACAAAAAATGAACACAAATGAACATTACACCACCTTGGTTGTCATGCACATCATCCAAAAACATGGATAGATTATGAAACTACAGCTATAAATCACTTAAAGATAGGAATACGTCCTGAGACATATGTAATTAGTCAATTTTGTTGCTGTGAGACATCGTAGTGTATTTATGCCAACCTAAGTAGATTAGAGTACTACGCACCTAGGCGGTGTCACATAACCTATAGTTCCAAGGCTACAACCTGTATTGTATATCACTGTACTGATTACTGCAGTCAATTGTAACATAATGGCAAGTATTTGTGTGTCTAAACATATCTAAACATAGAAAAGATACAGTAAAAATACAGTATGAAAGATAAAATGTGGTACAGCTGTATAGGGCACTTATGGATGCAGTTTGGAGGACTGGAAGTTGCTGTGGATGAGTCAGTGAGTAAGTGGTGAGTGTGAAGGCCCACAATATTGGTGTAAACAACTGTAGACTTTATAAAAACTGCATGCTTAGGCTACATTACATTTATTTTAAAATATTTGTCTTTATTAATAAATTAACCTTAGCTTACTGTAACTTTTTTACTTCATAAACGTTTTAATTTTTTTAACTTTTTGACTCTTTTTTAATAACACCTTAAAACACAAACACATGACATAGCTGTAAAAAACTATTTTATTTTATCCTTATTCTTGAAGCTTTTTGCCATTTTAAATATTTTTTGCTGTTTAAACATTTTGTTAAAAAAAGACACAAATGCAAACATGATCCAGGCCTAAACAGAGTCAGGATTATCAATATCACTGTCTTCCAGTGCCACACCTTGTCCCACCGAATGGTCTTCAGGGGCAATTCCACATATGGAGCTGTCATCACCTATGATAACAATGCTTTCTTCTATAATACCTCCTAAAGGACCTATCTGAGGCTGTTCTGCAGTTAACACTTCTTTATAAGTATAATAGAACACTCTAAAATAACAATTAAAAAGAGTAAATACATAAACCAGTAATATAGCCATTTATTATCATTATCAAGTATTATGTACTCTGTGTAATTGTATGTGCTGTACTTGTATATGAATGGCAGCACAGTAGGTTTGTTTAAACCAGCATCACCACAAATCTGAATAATGCATTTTGCTATGATGTTATGACAGCTACATATATGACACTAGGTCACGGGAATTTTTCAGCTCCATTATAATCTTATGGGACCACTGACATATATGCATTTCATCATTGACCAATACATCATTAAATGGCATGTGACTGTATATAATAATTTGGGATTGTTAGTTAATGAATGCATACAATTATCCTTCAAACATGGCTTGATAAAAGAATTCTAATAAAGGCATAAATACAAATGTAACAATATTTTACAAAGTAACTGTTCTGAAATTATTAGAATAAAGATCTTTAATCTTGTCTCCAAACCTCCATTCTCTTCAACCTATAATATTAATTATTATAGTATATACCAGATGAGCATTCTTTTTTTTTATTATACTTTAAGTTTTAGGGTATATGTGCACAACATGCAGGTTTGTTACATATGCATACATGTGCCATGTTGGTGTGCTGCACCCATTAACTTGTCATTTAATATTAAGTATATCTCCTGATACTATCTCTCCCCCCTCCCTCCACCCCACAACAGGCCCCGGTGTGTGATGTTCCCCTTCCTGTGTCCATGTGTTCTCATTGTTCAATTCCCACCTATGAGTGAGAACATGCGGTGTTTGGTTGTTTGTCCTTGCCATAGTTTGCTGAGAATGATGGTTTCCAGCTTCATCCATGTCCCTACAAAGGACATGAACTCATCCTTTTTTCTGGCTGCATAATATTCCATGGTGTATATGTGCCACATTTTCTTAATCCAGTCTATCATTGTTGGACATTTGGCTTGGTTTCAAGTCTTTGCTATTGTGAATAGTGCCACAGTAAACATACGTGTGCATGTGTCTTTATAGCAGCATGATTTATAATCCTTTGGGTATATACCCAGTAATGGGATGGCTGGGTCAAATGGTATTTCTAGTTCTAGATCCCTGAGGAATCGCCACACTGACTTCCACAATGGTTGAACTAGTTTACAGTCCCACCAACAGTGTTAAAGTGTTCTTATTTCTCCACATCCTCTCCAGCCCCTGTTGTTTCCTGACTTTTTAATGATAGCCATTCTAACTGGTGTGAGATGGTATCTCATTGTGATTTTGATTTGCATTTCTGTGATGGCCAGTGATGATGAGCATTTGTTCATGTGTGTTTTGGCTGCATAAATGTCTTCTTTTGAGAAGTGTCTGTTCATATCCTTTGCCCACTTTTTCATGGAGTTGTTTGTTTTTTTCATGAGATGAGCATTCTTAATCCAGAGTTATGATCATATTTCTTCTTTACTCTGTATCTTCCACATTTCATCCACTGCTTCCCTTCTAGTTACTGTGCATGCTAGAGGTGAACTCAAGGCTTTCACTTATTTCCAAGGTGGAGTATTTTTTATTGTCTATCATTCTCCTTCCCATCCCAAGATGTTGGTCAGAGTTTTAATAGTGGGCTACAGCCTGTTGATCTCACCTTAGTTTTAATTGATCAGCAGCCCTTTCTAATGTGTTGGTTTTCTGTTTTAGGACTGACTCCTGTATCTCCTTTACATTTTCCACAGATCTTGTCCTGTTAGGCTTAGTCCATTAGTCAGGATCTGGATATATATGGTAAACAGAAATGTTGATGATAACATTTCTGACTGGTACCAGGTTATCTGACTGAATTATTCCTGTTTTATCTCAAACTTTTGGTCACATATATTGTTGTTAGTCTCTTTTGAATTAAGTATTAAGATTATAGGACTTCTTCAGATGCTATTCCTGGAATATCTGTTTATTTAGACTGTCTAAATCAGAATCTTTCTTCCTCAAGTCCACCTTGAAAAGAAAACTTCTGTTCTCACCCTGAAAGCCTGGTTTTGCTAAAGACTCATTTTGCTTCATGTCTAAACCTGTCTAGGTTTAAATGCAAATTTTGAATTCTGTGAGGTCAATGGTGCCTTGCTCTTTCATTGAATAGAAATGATGTATTTATAGTGAGGCACATATATTTTTACTAGTTTATGATGTCAAAAATAGATAAGGACTTTTGAATGGCAAACAACAGAAATATAATCTAGTTAATATGAGAATAATATGGTTGAGATATTTAATGAAACCATTTTTATTTTTTCTAATGCCTAATTGCTAGTCGTCCTTTGGTACCTACAGCCAATGAACCAATAACAAAATACATTTGAACACAAAGGAGTCTATTTATTAATTCATTTATTTGCCTTGGTGTATCAAAATAGAGAGTTGGGTTTTTGTCTTTGTTTCTGTTTTGAGGTTTATGAGTGTGCATGAGTGTTGTTTACAGATTTTCATTTTTAGATTTTATTTTTTAACTTTTATTTTATGTTCAAAGTACACATGCAGGTATGTTACATAGGTAAATTGAATATCATGGGGGTTTTGTGTTCCCATTATTTCATCACCCAATAAATACTCAGAGTTTTTCAATCCTCACCCTCCTTCCACCTTCCACACTCAAGTAAGCCCCAGTGTCTGTTGTTCCCTTGTTTGTGTCCATGTATACTCAAGGTTCAGCTCCCACATATAAGTGAGAACCTGCAGTATTTGGTTTTTCATTTCTGCATTTGTTCACTTAGGATAATGGCCTCCATTAATATTTCTGCAAAAGACATGATCTCATTTCTTTATTGGCTACATAGTATTCCATAGTATATATGTATCACATTTTCTTTATCCAGTCTACCATTGATGGGCATTTGAGTTGATTCCATGTCTTTGCTATTGTGAAAAGTGCTGCAATGAACATATGCATGCTTGTGTCTTTATGATTGAATGATTTTATTCTATTTTTCTATTTTTCATATTCTTGTTGGCTGTGTGTATGTCTTCTTTTGAAAAGTCCCTGCTAATGTGCTTTGCTCACTTTGTAATGTGGTCATTTGTTTTTGCTTGTTAATTTGTTCCAGCTTCTTATAGTTTCTAGATACCACACTTTGTCAGAGCCATAGTTTGCAAATATTCTCTCCTATTTCATATGTTGTCTGTTTACTCTGTTGGTGGTTTCCTTTGCTGTGCAGAATCTCTTAATTTAATTAGGTCCCATTTATCAAATTTTGTTACTTTTTTTTTGCAATTGCTTTTGGCATTTTTGTCATGAAATATTTGCCAGGTTGTATGTCCAGAATGATATTTTCTAGGTTTTCTTTTAGAGTTTCTACAGTTTTATGTTTTATGTTTAAGTCTTTAATCTGTCTTGAGCTGATTTTTGTATATGGTGTAAGGGAGGGATCCAGTTTCAATCTTCTGAATATGACTTGCTGGCTATCCCAGCACCATTTATTGCTTTCCCCATTGCTTGTTTTTGTCAAGTTTGTCAAAGATCAGATGGTTGTTGATGTGCAGCATTATTTTGGGACTCTCTATTCTATTCCGTTTGTCTATGTGTCTGTTTTTGTACTAATACCATGCTGTTTTGGTTATGGTAACCTGGTAGTGTAGTTTGAAGTTGAGTAACGTGATGCCTCCAGATTTGTTCCTTTTCCTTAGGATTGTCTTGGCTATTTGGGCTCTTTTTTGGTTACATATGAATTTGAAAATTGTTTTTTTCTAATTCTCTGAAGAATGTCATTGGTAGATTGATAGGAATATCATTGAATCTGTAGATTGTTTGGGGAAGTGTGGCCATCTTAAGAACTTTGATTCTTCCTATCCATGAGCACAAAATGTTTTTCCATTTGCTTGAGTCACCTCTGACTTTTTTGAGCAGTGTCTTATCACTCTTCTTGTAGAGATCTTTCACCTCCTTGATTAGCTGTATCCCTAGGTATTTTAATTTTTTGTGATTATTTTGAATGGGACCACATTCTTAATTTGGCTCCCAGGTTGGACGTTGTTGGTGTATAGAAATGCTATTGATTTTGTACATTAATTTTGTGTCCAGAAACATTGCTGAAGTTGTTTTTCAGATCTAAGAGCTTTTGGGCAGAAATTACGATGTTTTTTACATATAGCATTATATTGTCTGAAAGCAGAGATAGTTTGACTTCCTAACTTTCTATTTGGATGCCTTGTATTTCTTTGTCTTGCTTGTTGGCTCTGGCTAGGACTTCCAATACTATGTTGAATAGGAGTGTGAGAGTGGGTATCCTGATCTTGCTCATTTTCTTAAGGGAAATGCTTTTAGCTTTTGCCCATTCAGTATGATGTGGGCCGTGCATTTGTCATAGATTGCTCTTATTATTTTGATGTATGTTCCTTCAATGCTTAGTTTGTTGAGGGTTTTTAACATGAAGGGATTTGAATTTTATCAAAAGCCTTTCTGTGATTATTGAGATGATCGTATCATTTTCTTTTTAGGTCTATTTATGTGATGAATCTCACTTATTGATTTGCATATGTTTAATCACACTTGTATCCTAGGGATTTAGCCAACTTGATCATGGTGGGTTATATTTTTGATGTGCTGGTGGATTGGGCTTTCTAGTATTTTGTTGAGGATATTTGCATGTATGTTTATCAAGGATATTGGCCTAAAGTTTTTTTGTTGTTGCTGTGTCTCTGCCAGGTTTTGGTATCAGGATGATGCTGGCCTCATAGAATAAGTTAGGGAGGAGTCCCTCCTAAATTTTTTGGAATAGTTTCGGGAGAAATGATGTCAGCCCTTTTTTATAAATATGGTAATAGTTTGCAGTGAATCTGTCTGGCCCTGGACTTTTTCTGGTTGGTAGGCTTTTTATTACTAATTTAATTTCAGAACTCATTATTTGTCTGTTCAGGGATTCTATTTCTTCCTGGTTCAATCTTGGGCATTGTATATTTTCAGAAATTCATGCATTTCTTCTAGGTTGTCTAGTACGTGTGCGTAGAGGTATTCATAGTAGTCTCTGAAGGTTTTCTGTGTCTTTGTAGGGTCAGTTGTAATGTCCCTTTTGTGTTTATTTAGATTTTTTCTTTATTAATCTAGCTAGTGTTTTATCAATCGTGTTTATTCTTTCACAACCCAACCACTAGGTTTGTCGATTTTTTGTATAATTTTTTTTTTTGCATCTCAATTCTTTTCAGTCCAGCTCTGATTTTGTTTACTTAATATTTTCTGCTAACTTTAGGGCTAGTTTTTTCTTGGTCCTCTGCTTCATCTAGGTGTAACATTAGATTATTAATTTGAGACATTTCTAACTTTTGGATATGGGTGTTTAGTGCTATAAACTTCTCTCTTAACAATGCTTTAGCTGTGTCCCAGAGATTATAGAATGTGATATCTTGGTTCTCATTAGTTTCAATTAATTTTTTTTCTTTCTGCCTTGATTTCATTGTTTACCCAAAAGTCATTCAGGAGCAGATTCTTTAATTTTCATGGTATTGTATGGTTTTCAGTGATTTTCTTCATACTGATTTCTAATTTTATTGTGCTGTGGTTTGAGAGTGTGGTTGTTATGACTTTAGTTTTTTGAATTTGCTGTGGATTGCTTCTGGGCCAATTGTGAGGCTGATTTTAGAGTATGTGTCTTGTGCAGATGAGAAGAATGTATATTCTGTTGTTTTTTGATATAGAGTTCTGTACATGTCTGTTAGGCTTAGTCAGGTGACATGTTAAGGTCCCAAATATCTTTGTTAGTTTTCTTTGATAACCAGTCCAACACTTTCAGTGGGGTGTTGAAGTCCCCCTTTATTATTGTTCAGTTATCTAAGTATCTTTGTAGATCACTAAGAACCTGCTTTATGAATCTGAGTGCTCCTTGGATGGGTGCATATATATTTAGCATAGTTAGGTCTTCTTTTGAATTGAACTCTTTACCATTTTGTAGTGCCCTTCTTTGTCTTTTCTTTATAGTTGTTGGCTTAAAGTTTCTTTTGTCTGAAATTAGGATTTCAAGCCCTGCCCTTTTCTGATTTCAATTAGCTTGGCAGATTTTTCTCCATCCCATTATTTAGAGGCTATTTGTGTCATTGATGTGAAATGGGTCTCTTGAAGATAGCATGACATTGGGTCTTGCTTCTTTATTCAGCTTGCCACTCTGTGCCTTTCAAATAAGGCATTTAGCCAATTTACATTCAAGGGTAATATTCATATGTGTGTATTTGATCCTGACGTTGTGTTGTTAGCTGTTATTTATACTGGATTGCTTGTGTGGTTGCTTTATAGTGTCAGTGGTCTGTTTACTTATGTGTGTTTTTGTAGTAGCTGGTAATGGTCTTTCCTTTTCATATTGAGCACTCTTTTCCAGATCTCTTGTAAGACATGTCTGGTGGCAATTAACTACATTTTCTGCTCTGTAGAGAATGTTAATTCTTCTTTACTTATGAAGCTTAGATTGGCTGGATATGAAATTATTGGTTGGAATTTCTTTTGTTTAAAAATGCTGAATAAATGGCAACAAAAGCCAAAATTGACAAATGGGATCTAATTAAACTAAAGAACTTTTGCACAGCAAAAGAAACCACCATCAGAGTGAACAGGCAACCTACAGAATGGGAGAAAATTTTTGCAACCTACTCATCTGACAAAGGGCTAATATCTAGAATCTACAATGAAAACCAACAAATTTACAAGAAAAAAACAAACAACCCCATTAAAAAGTGGGTGAAGGATATGAACAGACACTTCTCAAAAGAAGACATTTATGCAGCCAAAAGACACATGAACAAATGCTCATCATCACTGGCCATCAGAGAAATGCAAATCAAAACCACAATGAGATACCATCTCACACCAGTTAGAATGGCGATCATTAAAAAGTCAGGAAACAACAGGTGCTGGAGAGGATGTGGAGAAATAGGAACACTTTTACACTGTTGGTGGGACTGTAAACTAGTTCAACCATTGTGGAAGTCAGTGTGGTGATTCCTCAGGTACCTAGAGTTCCTCAGCAATGAGGAACTGAGTCAATTAAAGCTTTTTTGTTTATAAATTACCCAGTCTCAGGTACTATCTTTTTTTTTTTTTTTTTTTTTTGAGACGGAGTCTCGCTCTGTGGCCCAGGCGGGAGTGCAGTGGCGCAATCTCTGCTCACTGCAAGCTCTGCCTCCCGGGTTCACGCCATTCTCCTGCCTCAGCCTCCCGAGTAGCTGGGACTACAGGCGCCCACCATCACGCCCGGCTAATTTTTTTGGTATTTTTAGTAGAGACGGGGTTTCACAGTGTTAGCCAGGATGGTCTCAATCTCCTGACCTCGTGATCCGCCCGCCTCGGCCTCCCAAAGTGCTGGGATTACAAGAATGAGCCACCGCGCCCGGCCAGGTACTATCTTTATAGCAGTGTGAAAATGGACTAACACAGCCTTTTGGAAGAAAATGAGTCTCTGGTCTCAGGTTTTGCTGCTCTCTCTTTGCTAAGATGGTTTATTCCTAAATGGGTAGGTCCCATGTTATTAGGAAAGCTCATTTTTAGCAGGTTGTGAAGTCTCATGTCCTACAAGGGGAAAATAGGGAAAAGAAGGGAGAAAAATTACAACAAAAGAGCAATCTTGGAAAATTAATATAGGCCATCTTACTCTAAAGTTCATATATTAGTAGGCAGGGAAGAAAGTGGCTTGTGTATGTAAATAGGTTGCTGTTATTTTTTTCTGAAGTTTAAGTTGTCTAGCTTCAGTTTGCAGGGCTTTAAAAAAGCACAGATTAGTTTTCAATAATTTCAAATTAGGAAAATCAGGGGAAAATGGGAAGAAAAGGAAAACAGAGAAGGAAAAAATTGTTTAAAAAAAATTCTTATTGCACTTATGCAAAAAAACCTATATTTCCATAAGTTAAGAATACTCACAAATAGTTTCCAAATTCTGAAGAAATCAGGTAAAGAGAAACAAATATGCTCCAAATTTTGTTCATAGTAGTATACTGTACTCAATTGCAATAAGCTATAAATAGCTCAAAAGAAACATTTTATTGACTCTAAAAAAACAAAACAAAGGAACAGCAATGTTTTGAGCAAAAAAGTCAAAAAAGATTATTTCAGTCTTCTATGAGTTCAGCCTATGAAGGTAACTCCTGTCCTGCTTGATATTCATGAACATTCCAGCTCTCCATGAGAGTTCTGAAAGATATTCCTCTATTCTCATGTCACAATCTCAAAAGTTATTAGAACCCTGCCTTCAAGAACACCTGTTAGAGTTTTATAGCTTATTATAAAACTACTTTCTAAATAAGACCAAAACAAGAAGACAATCGTCTGTGGATGACAAAAAGTTTTGGAGCAGCCACAGTCAAAGACACAATTGACAAGGAAGTTTATTACCTCTGTAGCACACAATATTTTAACATAACAATTATAATTATTACTTATAATGTACACTCTCATATCAGAATTATAAGATTTTTCCATAATTTTGGAACATGTACTAATAACATTTTGTACAAAGAAAGCCAAACATTATTTCATATTTGACAATGCTCCCTGTATGATTTTTATACCAAATAAGCCAAATACGTCATTTTTGAACTTTAGGGAACCTAATATCTTAAAGGATTAATTAGATCAGAAAAAAACAAAAATTATAATTTTATCTTGAAAAGTTTGTCAAATATCAAAGGTTTAAAATGCTTGATATTACAAAATAGGATCACAGGTAATTGTAAAATAAGTCAATCATTTAAGCAAAATGATAACTCAAAGATTTCAAAAAAAAGGCAAAAACCTTTATTCTTTGAGAAAGGAGACTTAGTTTTCCAAACAATAAACCCTAATAAAAACAGCATAAAGCCTATTAAATTTGTTTTTTAAAATTTTATAAACAATCTATAAAATTTGAGTCATAGGACTCATAAGATTTGGTCTTTACAGCCTTTATTAAGGGGTTGATTAATTCTTCAAGAAAACCTTGCTAATATGACACAGGGGCCCATATTCTGGTCTTGCATCAGTATGCCTTTGACATTAATGTTTCATTTATAGAGAAACTGAAGTTATTTTTTCTCTCAAAATCAGCTCTTACAACCTCGTGTGCCCACCTCTTCTGTGATAGTCCCTTGGCCTCGAAGAGTTGAATAGCTTTACTTTCTGGCCCTGTGTCTCATGAATGCAGTTTATTTTGATTAGTATATTCTATCAGATATGAATTCAATATCTGATAGGCTCTAACTGCTGTCAGTGTTAAGATTTAGCAGGACTTGGTGTCCTTCTTAGACTAAGAAGTCAAAGCCCTGTAACTTAATGACACAAGGACTTTAAAAATACATACAGAAAGTGACACAGATTTAATCTTAATTAAATTTTTTATACTCTCAGTTTTTTTAAGCAAACCGAACTTAGTAATAATGATGTATGAATTATTTCGATAAACCATAAGATCTGTTTATCAGGCCAGTTACCCAAGGCAAAAGAAAAGACTTTGCTGTTCCCTATGGGAAATGTTATGTTAGAAAAAAATCCTTTTAAGATATAACTTTTATTTTTATGTTTTAATTCTTAAAATTTTTTAGCATTAGGCCACAGCAGTTAGAACCCAAAAGGGGAAAAAACACAAACTTTCACAAATTGAAAATAAGTTGAAAGATAGAGTTATTATTTCATTTTTGTCCTTTTAAAATGTGAGAGAAAGCTTAAAAAACAGCGAGACACAGTAAAAGTTGAATTTTCCATTAAAAATAGTATAATGTCTTGTAATTTAAGAGTAAAGCAATATCCTAATAAAATTTTGTAGTTTGAATGAATTCTTCAGTGTTTAAGTTTTTTTAATCAAAATTTAATCTCTAGAAAATCCATTATAATTTTCATTTAATTATATGCAACTTGATCAATGAAAGTTTTTTTTTTAATATAAATCCTCTTGTTATGATGTACATGGATCATTCATGACATGATTGGACTTTCTGGTTTGTCCTGACCATCCTTCTTTTTTAAACAACCAGTCAGTCATTTTATTCTAGGACAAATTTACCATACAAGATTCTTTCCCACATAAAATTATTTGTGTTTAACCTTTCTTACCAAAAATATCTCTTTATTTCTGTAACATTCTTTAAATCCCTCTTATTTCCTAGTTCCTTTTACATTGTTTTATACATAAACTTTAAATAATCTTTGAATTAGACAAAAATTATTCACCTTTTAAAAAGGACACATTTATTTTTTAGAAATAATGTTTTTCTACCATATTTTTATTGAAAAATACCCAATTAATAACATATCCATTATTTAATTTGATATAACTTTAGATTCTAAATTATGACAAGTGTATTCAGAAGTATTTATCCCATTAAATTTACCTAATTGTTTTGTTTTAATAGTTTACCTAGATTATTTATAAAAACTATGTTAGTCATCATTTACAGTTATGAAACCACCACTGAAAAATTATAACAGAGACAGTGAAAGAGATCTGACCTGCTGACTCCATCTTGTTTCTAGCTTCCAAGCTATCCTTTTTCATTCCTGAGCCGAGGCTGAACTAACTTTGATAGGAACTAGTTTATAGTTTCCCTTTGAAACAAGGATGACAACAGTCCTTTCTCAAAACAAACCCCCTTCCTACCTGGAGACTAAACTGCCTAAAGCCACAATATTAGAAATTATGGTTCAGGATTCATGCAGCTGGAGGCTGCAAGATTCTAAATCTCCCCAAATTGCTACTAAGGGTAACAACACTATTGTAAAATTTAAAATCAGTGCTTGAGATATTTTGCAGACTCTGCACTCTATGGATCAGCTGGCACCACCCAGATTGATACACTGGCTCATCTAGTCTTGTGGCCCCCACCTCGGTCCTAACTTAGCCCAAGAGGACACCTTCTACTCCCTATGATTTCATCTTCAACCCAGCCAATCAAAACTCCCAACTCACTGGCTCATTAACCACCAAATTGTACTTAAAAACTCTGATCCCTGAATTCTTGAGAAGACTGATTTGAATAATAACAAAACTTCAGCCTTCCACACAGCTGGCTCTGTGTGAATTACACTTTCTTTATTGCAATTCCCCTGTCTTAATAAATCAGCTCTGGCTGGGTAGTGGGCAAGGTGAAACTGTTGGGTGGCTGCAGTTATTTCCCTGTCAACTATTTTATAGCCTGTGAATTTTAGGTGTTTACCTAAGTAAGAACCTTAAGATTAACTAAATAATTTAAGATTTAGCAATTTTTATGAAACCAATATTAACATCATATGTATCAAAAATTACAGAAGCAAAGATTATTCTGTTCTGGGCTTGGTTTATAGTTTTGTAACCCTTCTGCCAAATTTTGACACCTTATAGTATTTGACAGGGATAACTGTGAAATTGCTTGATCAATAAATTCAAACAAAAATATATGCTGGAAATTCTTAAAATATTTCTAATATTACTTTACCAATAATTTTAAAGCTAGCTTATTTATTAAAATTTTTACTTAATTCACAAAAATGGGAAAAAGCCTTTGACGGGTCTTTTCCTTTTTTTCTGATAAAGTATTTGATTTAAGTGCTTTTATTTTTCTTAAGCCAATTAATTAGAGTGTTGTATGTTTTTATTAGTGAAACATTATGTACACAGCTCATAGATACATAGACATATTAGGAATGGTGATAGAAGTACATCTTATAGATTCATAAGACTTTTTTTTAGAACAAAACGGGTATATTTCTATTAGACTACCGGATACAGAAGATAGTGTGTTATGGGATGGATAGTATGAATGACAAATAATACAAATATATTTTATTTGAAATAAACAAAAATGCATACACAGCTCAATGAGTAACAAACTGTTTAGAAACAAACTTTTGTTTGACTATGTTACTGAGCAGAAACAAAACGTAAGCATGAACACCTTTTATTTTTGACATGTATCTGGAGATAGGTAGGAAGACACTACTTGTTTTTTAAAAAACTGACTTTCCCCTTAAGGCCTGGTTGTAGAAGTGTAAACAATGTAAATGAATCCACTATTACCAGTTGTCATGTCATATCTATGTCACCTGTGTATTCTGAGATTACACACATACCTGCCAATATACCTGAGAAAGATTACTTTATCACAGTTACAATTGATTTCTTGGCAGGCAGAACTGAGGAAGAGTAATTTGAAATAAGCTTTATATCCTAGTTAGAGGAAATCACTAGTATTTCCTTAAATAACAGGTTACAATAGAAAGACACTGCCTGGAAGTTATCTTTTTCACTTTGGGTCACTTTTAGTTTTTATGACTTACATAGATGTTTAATTCATTTGCTTATAGTACAATCTTGCTATAAAGTACTAAAGCACAAGATACCTAGTATTCCTTCAACATCTGCATTTTTCAAGTTTTTTACTCTACATCCACAGTATGTCAGCAGTTCCTGAATGTTTAGTAAAATGGATAAAATGCTTCTAAAAATGCAGATGTCTATAACTACAATGGTACTAAGATGGGAAGGAGACAATGAGAGAATGGATAAAAGCAAACATGTTCATGTTCAGGGAATGTGGTTCAAGTCTTTGGATTTAAAAACAAGTTCCCCAGAGAAGCTGGCACTTCCTTTGCCCTCCAAAAAGGATCCAAAAAGTCCCAATCCAAACTTTGGAAAGTTACAGTTACAAGATTCAATAAATGATGATCAAAGCAGTCAGAGGGAGAAGGATGAATGTGTCCACTTAGCTATAGATTGTAGCATAGCCTCTTTAGGTGTTGGTGAATCAGTAAAAACCAGTGAAGTACCAGAAGTGGTTGGAAGGATAGGGGTAGAAAGTAATGACCATAATACCTTGTCTAAATCAGTAGCAGGGCTTCATGGCTAGGAAACTTTTTTAAACAGTAAAATGTCATTAGGATAGATTTCTCTCTCACCAACATTAAACGTGGCAGAATTAACAACAACAAAAAAATGGTTTACACATAGATATAGCAATACAGAAAACTACAAGGCAGAGAACACAAAAGAATCAAGATAATGCTATAGGTTCGACAGTATTCCATGAGGCCAGAAAACCAGTTAACTTTGAAAACCCTAGCAAAATATTACTCTTGTTTATAAATCACTTATTTATCATATGACTACACATTGAATCTTTGTCTTTTCACATACTGAAGAATCCTACATTCAGCCTTTAAGCATTCTGCATATCTTTGCCAATCTTGTAGCTGACTATCTTGTTCCAGTCGATTTTGGTGCAGGTAACTGGAAGCTGCCGGCACAAGGCCTTGAACGTGGTATCTGACAGTGTTTGATAGTTTTCACTAATTGCTGTCTGATACTCATTTTCTGCATTCTCTATGATTTTAATAAACTCCTTGGCAGTTTGGGCTTCATTCGAAACAGCGAATCCTGTACATCTTTATGACTAACCAACTGAACGATGCCAACTTCATAATAGTGAACCTGAATCTTAAGCACTCCAACCACCTGGGCTGTAGATGGTGTGATGGCGAACTTCCACTCTGATCTCCAACCACCATTCCAGAAGTTTTTAGGCTGAAACTGGTGGCTTTCAATATGTGCAATAATAGTCTGTTGTTAATTGATAGTTTTAGCATAGACAGTACAGAAGCTGTTGGAATAATAGTCTTTCACATAGGCTCTTAAAGCACAGTGACAGGATTCTCTCCAAGACTTCAGACCTCCATCTACTTCTTCTGGCTGGGGGTCACTTGCTTCTTTCTATAAGTGATCAAATTTAAAGGAAATTTTGTTTCTTGGATCTCAAACTCTGCTATTACCCAGGTCACTGTGCTGTGTAATTAAGACCTGATCTTCATATCCTTCTATCTTCACAGGCGTGAACTGATCCAGGTTATACTGGGCAAAGGCATGTGCTGCCCCTTCCGAGGAGACTGTCATTATTAAGTAGTAGCCGAACATCATTGAATGCTTCATTAAATTCTTCTGGGGGTGCATGAGTGGTGAATTTAGCAGCCATGCCTACTGTCTCCTCATCCGTCACACAATCATCGAAGTCGTCCATCTTGGGCTGTTCTAAGACCTTTTTTTCACACTTTCAAAATGATAACCTATTTTATTACCCTAGGTAATTGTCAGCTAAATAACCACAAATTTTCATATTGAAGAAAATAACCCTTAGGTGAAAAATTAGATAACAAAAACGTACATCTCAAAGTAAAGAGAGAAAAAGTCTGGTGTGCTAGAGGGAAATCAAAACCAGCTTAATTGCCATTTAAACATAAAATAGAAATCTATCATAAAGGCCTTTTAAATATATACACACACAAACACACACACACTCACACACACAAATTCTGTAACTTTTACTTCAGAACTCTAGCCATGAGATATTAATACAAATTTACTGGCTTTCAAAAACAAAATAAAGAGGTCGGGTCCAAACTGTGGTTTTTATCTCAGTAGAAAAGTAACAGCAGATTTAAAGCAGGCAGAAAAAAAAAATAGAGAAAAAGAGAATTTAGGAACTCTATAGTTTACAGATTGACCTTAGGGCTCTTTTTCCTTGATGTTAATGTGCACAAAGACCATAATATTTCTATTTTTCACAAACTTTAGCAAGTAGAAGTGCCATAAAACCAACACGGTACCCAAAAGGAGGTCATTCTCCTTGTTTTCTCCTCATTATTACATAATTTCTTTTCCACTGTTTCTTTTTCTTAAAAGAAGGAACTGAGTTGTCATCTAGGGTTTTTGTGGACTGGGTTGAAGTGTGTGCTTGTTGCCAGTGGGAGGCCACAGTGTGTTACCACTGAGTCATTGGCACCCTCTTATGTGTTTTGTCTCTAAGCATCTCCAGGGAGGCACAAAGCATGTAGTGGCCAGCTCCCATACGCACTTTCTGGATGAGCCTTTTTAAAACTAATTCTGTTGGTGTTTCCCTGTAGGGCCATTGCACATCATGGCGGGTAAACCCACTAGACACTCCCATGAGGCTCCAGGTCACCCAGGGGTATCTTTCAGCTGGGAGGAGTAAAAGGCATTTTCTGTTTGGAGCTGAGGAAACTCAGTCTTTATTTACCTATGAAAACAACAGGTCAGCTCCTCACATAAATGCACACAGACAAGCCACACTGAAATTAATTTGGGGAGAAAAAGAAATGGAGAAAACCCTTTATTGAACTAGAATTAGAATTCTTAAATAACAACTTTCTAGTAGGAAAAAAGATAGCCAAGACCACTTGCTGTAAACTGTCCTCACCCACCCCTATACTTTGTAGCTCTCATCTGCCATTACACACGCCAGGCTCAAATCCTTTCACAGTACAACGTACTCTCTGGTACCCCCAGAGTCAAAAAGGTCAGGTAATGCAGTACAGGAAAGCAGAACTTTAGACCGAAGAAGAATCTGCCCATGACTCTTGAAACTTCACACACACACGCAGAACAGAACACCCCAAAAGGGGTAAGTGGCACCTTTGTTTTTCAATTCTTTAAATGGGTTTGAGTCATTAGAAGGCTTCTCTAGATTTTTCCTGGTACTGAAGATGGCAAAGGGAGAAGGAGGTATATGATAGAAGAAAAGTAAATGAAACAACATTTTTTTTTAAGATGGGATGCAAACACAGCAACCAAGTTCATGGTTTTGTCTGTTGTTTTCTTTTTCCTCTCTTTTGCAGCTGTGAGGAATTTTAACCAATTCAGTGAGATCTCATTACCCATAGTTTGGAGTTCTCATTCGGATTTGACCAAATTAGGTAGAGTTGGTTAAATCTGATAGAAGAAAGACCAGAATAAACAATAACAAAACAAACAAACAAACAAGAATATGATCACTGAGAGCTCTAATGGTAAGGAGAAATTTAGACCAGTTTGTTGTTAATATTAACTTTAGCCAAGACAAAACCCCAATTCATCTACTTACCTAGGGATGGGTCTCAGGCTAAAGACTGCTCTCTAACATCCTAGAAGCAGGAAAAAACTCAAACTCACCTTCCCTGTTTGAAGTGAGCTCAAACTCCATAAAGAAGTTATCTGCCTTCCATTGTCATGGAAGCAGGGAAACTTGCCTTTTTTGTTGGAAGCAAGTAAAACTCCAAAAAAAGGAGTTGTACAGCAAAATAAACTTTAGATCTTGACCAAATCTGGGGACATCAGGGATTCTCTGAGGGGCGGGGCGGGGCGGCGGGGCTTCCAGGCCTCAGCAAATTGTCCTATTTGTTTGAGCCATAAAGATAGCACAAGCTGGTTCTGTTACTGGTGGAAGAGATCCAAGTTACTCTGAGTTATCAGTGGTGTATCGATGAGGGTCTGCAGCAACTTCAGTCCTTGCCTCCTCAGAAGAAAGAATTAGACTGAGGGGCATGAAGCAGGAAAAGAGACCGAGGCAAGTTTCAGAGCGGGAGTGGAAGATCATTTCAAAAGGCTTTAGAACAGGAAAGAAAGGAAAGGTCACTTGGAAGAGATCTAAGAGGGCACCTGAAGATCAAAACAGAGTCAAAAAGGAGCGTTTGATCTTGATCCTAGGACTTTATATGCTCACTTCTTTCCCATGACTCTTTCATTAGGGTGGACTTCCCTCATGCATAGCACCCTCTTTACCCTTGAGAACTGAGCACGCGCAGTTTGTCCGAAGAGTTGTATTCATGCTCATCTGAGGCTTTCTTCCCTTTTTCCAGTGGAGTGTACCCGGAACATCATACCTCACCACTTTGTCTCCTAGTGCACATGCCCAGGAACTTTCTTTTCCCTGGCATCTGCATTCAATTAGCACTTTTAATGTTAATAGCTGTGAATCATCACGAGATTATCTCTCCTTGTGGCTGCTGAAGTACTATTTTTAGAGAAGCAGTGTGATAATCATCAAACTGTCACCTGACATTCATACTGGGTCAGGGGAGAGCCCTCTTCTTCCCTGCTCATGCCTGTCTAACTACCTGTAACAGTACCAAGCACCAATAGATTTGTGAAAGGTCAGGGACACCTCTAGTCAAAATCCCTTCATAGTTACCAACATGTGAACCTCCAAAATCTGAGACGTGTCTTAGTCAATTTAGAAGGTTTATTTTGTCATAGATAAGGATGTGCGCCCATGGCACAGCCTCGGAAGTCCTAAGGACATGTGCCCAAGAAGGTCAAGGCACAGCTTGGTTTTATACCTTAGAGGGAAACATGAGACATCAATCAATATATGTAAGATGAATATTGGTTTGGTCTAGAAAGGCGGGACAACTCGAAGCAAAGAGGGGAGAACTTAAGTAGGGGAGGGGCTTACAGGTCACAGGTAGATAAGAGACAAATGGTTGCATTTTTTGAGTTTCTGATTAGCCTTTCCAAAGGAGGCATTTAGACATGCATTTATCTCAGTGAGCAAAGGATGACTTTGAATAGAATGTGAGGCAGGCTTGTCCTAAGTAATTTCCAGCTTGACTTTTCCCTTTACTTTAGTGATTTTGGGGTCCCAAGATTTATTTTCCTTTTACAAAACAATAATATTATTCATGGGATAAAGCTCATAGAAGGAAATCTCAACCTAATAAAAAATTTGCGAAAGCCACAGTTGCAGTGATTTGTATCACTTTCCACTAGTGTGAACTAGATCGTCTTTAAGGTGATAGAGTAAGACTATTAGAGAAGCAGCAATTATAAAGCTCAAAGAAGCAGCTGGTTGCCAAATAAGAATATAAATGACATAATCGTAAGTTAAATACATTTTTTCATTAATACATAATGTATTTGTATGCACCATTACTTTTTCAGTTTCAAAACCTCGTTGGAAATTGGATGGTTTAAATATTCCCCATTCAAAAAGAACATAGAGAAATGGAGAGCAGAAGCAACCTACAGTGACTGACTGCAAGAGAGACAAACGAATGAATTTCTTCACTAGCAGAAGAGCTGAATATGGACAACATCATTGAAATAGACAGTGATATTTTATTCATCAAGAAACAGGGGCAGCAAATTCTTCTCAGGGGAAATTGGCAAAATATTAGTTCCTATTGCCAGTACTGGTTTTATTCAGAGGTAAAATAAATTTTTTAAACTTTTTAAGTTTTTAGTATATATTAACAACTACATTGAATCGATGTTTTAGACTGCTTTCATTGCAGAGCAAGTTAGAAAAAATATGAGTTTCAAAATACTTAGAATGACTTTTAAAGAAACCTATCATGTAGGCATTGATTTTATGTAATCAGTTCCATAATTTATGAAGCTTTTACTATGTAGCAGCCACTGTTATGGACACTGTATGAAGGATGGCAAAGACACAGATAAAACTTCCCCTCATGGTGCTTACAGTGTATGGGAAATGCCATTTTGTGCCTTTTTTAAAAGATTGTGTTGATCTAACCTTCAAATCTCATATCCCACGGTAGCAGAATCTACTCAATTTTTTTTTCAGGCCCAGAATCTTAAGGGAGCCAGAAATCTTCAAAAAATCTTGTAGTTAGTCAAGTAAAATGAAGTGAGTGGCAGGTCAGAGGATTGACTCCACTGGAATTATTTCAAGGAGCTTTTCAAAGTACAAATTTCAAAGGTCTCTTACTTTGTAGTTTATGATTCCCAGAGAACCCAGATTTTTAAAACATGCTCCCCGGGTGATAATGATTCCCAATAAGATAAGAGAAACAGGATTCCAGTTTGTTATTCAGGAACATACTTTACCTCAATTTTTATTCTGTTTGTTACCAAATCTAATGATTGGAATTCTACTTCTGCTTCCTTACTTATCAACCTAATAGACATTCTTCAATTTTCTGTCCTTGCCTTGCCTGAATTTAAATCTGTACATCAGGACTAGTACAGTCTGAAATGTGGCATTAATTTTTGAAACTTCTCAGTCATCTGAAGCTTGTATTCTATTCCTGAGGCCCCTTAATTTCTGGCTCTTAGCATCTTCTAAAATGACAGTATGTCTGCCTATTGAGATTCAAGTTTCTGTTCTGAGAGACTGTGTAAACCAAAAGTAAAATTCGAAGGCCCATAGCAATCTGAATGCACTTCCTCCTAGGTCAGGGCACTCTATTTTTAACCTGAAATACGGGCTCAGGCCATGACAGAAAGTGGGGGTTAGACATGCCTCATTATACCTCTCCTGGCATTAACATCAACACAGACTGTAAGTCTCATACAAAACATTTGCAATCTATAATCTCAGAACCCTGCTATCTGGAGGCTTTATCTGCATAATAAAGCTTTGGTCTCCATAACCTCTTATCACAACCCAGATATTCTTTTCTATTTGTTAGTGGTGGTGAATCCATATGGGTCTGTGGCAACCTCAATTCTTGCCTCCTCAAAAGAAAGAATTTGACTAAGGGGTATAAGGCAGAAGGAGAGACTGAGGCAAGTTTTAGAGCAGGAATGAACATTTATTAAAAATCTTTAGAGCAGGAATGAAAGAAAAGAAAGTACACTGGGAATATGCGCAAACAGGCAACTTAAAGAACAAGCGCAGGGTTGACCTTTCGACTTGGGGTTTTTTATGTTGATGTACTTCCGGGGTCTTGCGTCACTTCTCCCTTTATTCTTCCCTTGAGGCAGGCTGCCTGCATGTACAGTGGACTGCTAGCACTTGGGAGGTAAGCACGCGCAGTGTATTTACTGGAGTTGTGCGCATGCTCACTTGAGGCGTTCTTCCCTTTACCTGCAGAATTTCCCTGGAAGGTCATACTCTGCCATTTTGCCTCTTAATGCGCATGCTTGAGCCAATTTGCCCAACTCCTAAGATCTTATCAAAAAGCTGCTAAGAACCTGTTTCAGGTGTTTTCTATCTGTAGGGAGACTATCTTTCCCTGGCACTGGCTGCAACCTATTATTATTTTAGAGAGGCAGCGTGACAACTGCTTGACCATCACCTGATAGTCGCCTGACTTTCCTGGTGGGGTGTGGGAGCCCTCTCCTGCCTTGTTCATGTTTGACTAGCTACCCACAGTGAGATATTGATAACTCTTTCAACCAACTGCCAATTAGAAAAATTTTAAATCTGCCTATAACCTGGAAGCACCCACTTCAACTAGTCCTGCTTTTCTGGAACGAACCAGTGTATATCTTAAATGTATTTGATTGATGTTTCATGTCTCCCTAAAATGTATAAAACCAAGCTGTACTCCAACTACCTTGGGGACATGTTCTCAGGATGTCTTGAAGGCTGTGTCATGGGCCATAGTCACTTACATTTGGCTCAGAATAAATGTCTTTAAATATTTTAGAGATTGACCCTTTTCGTTGACACCACTTTTTCTAGATTTTACTGAGAACAGAACAAATATCATGAAACTCAGAATTACATAGTTAACCCCATATCTTAGTTGTTGGTGTCTCTTGGGTGCCATAATCAGTTTAAATCTTGCAAGAAGTAAACATACTGCTTCATTGTCAGATATTTTCTAGTATACTAGAAGGTGAGAAGAGCTATAAAAAATAGAGAATGCTAAAAGAATGAGAGTTATAGGGTTAATAGTGTGGTTAGTAAGGGTTGGGCCTCACTGAAAAGGTGAAGAGAGCGAATGAAGAAGGTAGATATCTGGAGGAAGAGCTTTCCAGGTATAGGTGATTGATAGTGTAAATATGCTGAGGTAGAGACTGCCAGGCATGTTCGAGAAATAAAGCCAGTTTGACTGGAGTGTATTGAGAGAAGAATACAGAACTGGAATATGACGTTAGAGAGAAAATGGGGATCACATTGTGTAGGACCTTGGTAAAGAATCATAAGGACTTTGGCTTTCATTCTGGTTGAATCGAGGAATCAATGGAGGGCTTTGAGCAGAGAAATATTTCATGGATCTTTCAAAAGGTTCATTCTGGTTTAGTTGTGAATAAATTGTAAAGAAACAAAAGTGGAAGCAAAAAGTCCAGTTAGGAATCAATGACAATAATTCTGGTAAAGAACGGTTATGAAAGTGACCATGTGATGTGCATATGATGAGATTCTGCATAAATTATGAAGGAACATATACAAGATTTCATTGATGGATTCTATCAAAGAGATAAAGAGAGGAGTAAACAATAAGGTCGGTGCTTTTGGCCAGAGAAGCTTGAAAACTGGGGTTGCCAATAACTGAGATGGAGAAAGCTATGAGCAGATCAGGTTAAGAGGATTGGTGATAAATGATTTAGTTTTCATATATTAAGTTAGATATGTCTATTAGAAATTCAAGTGAATATATGGTATTGGCGTAAAAGGGCGAAACAATAGCTTAACATTTCTAGTTTTGGTAACTGGTAGATGGTAGTATTATTCACTGAGATGAGGGGTCCAGAGAAACTGAAGAATGAATGGCAAGTGACAAAGCAGACTCTTAACTGTATTTTAGAAGCATGGCTATAAATGTCAAAGAATGCTTTATTTTTAAACTTTTTAAAAATTTTTTTCTTAAAATTATTGTTACATGTAGAGGTAAAGGATTCATTTATTACACTATTTTTCAACTTACTTATTTTACATAAGGGTTTTTAGACTCATTTCGTTTTCCATGGCAGTAGGGTTGTTAGATAAATTAGATAATCTAATTGTTGAATTTAAAAGTAATAATTTAACTTTGAAAAACATTTTATTTGTTCAACTTTTTTCTACCAGACGTTGAAATCATCATTTTATTTCATCAGATGCTTAGTTTGGGCCAATACAAATGGAGCCTCTAGTTGGGCATGCACCTGTGATGCCTGGATGATTTACAATAATTACCTTATTACTAAGTAAGAGTTAATAACAAAAATATCAATGTTGCAAAAAGCATTCTGGTTATAAGAAACAAAACAAGCTTCTGCAAATGAGGCTACTATCAATCTATGGAAACAAGGTTCTCTGCATCTCACTGCCATCAACAAAATTCATAGTGAACTTTGGTCATTCAAGTGCTAATTTTGTGCACAGGATAATAGAGCACTGAACACCATATATCTGTAATAACAGGATTCAAGACCCCCCTCCCCTGGCAGAGTTCGAATTACAGAAAACAGATAAAGGTGTTATCATTGGGTAGATAAGGCCACTCAAAATCTTAGATTATGCTATATAGGCATTCATGCATTTGTTTTCTGTACAAGGTTGACCTTGAACTTAAATAGTGAGAAGTGGATATTTTGACAGTGGATGTCATTGGCATGGATAACCTGCATTTTATATTAGACACAATGTCATGTGACAATCATTATTCTCATTTTTTCAGGTGAAGAAAGTAAGGTTGAGAATTTAGTTTGCTCAGTTAAAAAATGTCAGAGCAGATAACCAAATCTAGAGTTTCTAAGTCCATATTCAATATTTTTTTATTTAACATGTTGTTTCTAATTGAATTTAGTTTATTTATGGATTTATTTGCATTTAAATATAAAATTAATGCATGCTTATACTAAACCTTCAAATAAAATTTGAATAGGATATAAGCCAAAAGTTGGAAAATGCCAAATTATTCAACCTACATTTACACTCTTTATAGGCAATTGATCAATTTCCTCTTTATCTTTCAAGAATTTTTAATTTTCCATATATATGCATATATACATATATGCGTGTGTGTGTATAAAATGATCTGTATTAGTTGAGATCTTCTCTGAGAAACAGATGTAAATATGCCATTACATGTAAAAGAGATTTATTTGGGAATCTCCTGTGAAAAATGAAGAGAGAGGAAGGAGAAGCAGGCAAGAAGAGCCTTTAGCCTGAGGCATGTGTGACACCTGTGACATAAAAAAAAGGAAAGGGGGAACAATTGGGAAGGAAGAGTCTCAAACCACGTAACACAGTTCTAAAAATTTATGTGTTAGACTAATTTGGAATCCCAGAAAAAGAATTGCCTATTGCAAGAGCCCCAGGTCATTAATGGCCCAAATCTAGCAGCCTCCACCCTGTTCGTCATTGCTTGGCGGCATCTCAAAGGAAGTAAGGCCTCAGCATATGAACACCACAATAAATTTAAATGTTTCACACATGGTATATGTAGGACAACTGTGCTCCCAAAAGCGGGTTCTCTTGAAGAAAGATGTGAGCAGGAAACTTTCATCACCTCCACAAAATCATGCTCTACATAATGTTCTGCAACTTAGTTTTCTCTTAATAATAGCAAATGTTAATCAATTTTTATGTGATGGTCCAGGTGTTAAGTACTTTACATAAATGTATGCATGTAATTATTATAGCAACCCTTCGAGTTCAGCACCATTACATAATTATGATCCTCATGTTATCGATGAGGAAACTAAGGATCAGAGAGATTAACTAAGTAGCCCAAGGTTAGGCAACACAAAATGACTCCTGACTAATAAGATGTGATTCCCCAATATCCAAATACAGAAGATCAGGATTTTATCATTGAAAGGTGACAAACATTTTTATCATTTATCTGCTGTTCAAGTAATAGTATAAAGTAGGTGGTAGTGTTTATTTCAGAAGCCTATATTTATTACTTACTTTATTCCAAAAGTGACTTAACACAAAACCATATATAACAAAAGGATGTGATTTTAAAATTAAAAAGTAAAAATTGTGATCATTTAAATTTTAAAAATTAAATAAAGTTATCGAATAGCATTTTTGTTGGACATAGCGGGTTGCTCATATATCTTTCTTTTCTGCTTTACTAAACAATAACTAAATTTATGTTTTAAATTAACAAAATGTTTTAATTTACAAGGACAAAGTGTATGGGAGACATAGTACAATGGGCAAGAGATTTTATCAAATTTGTAGAAGACATAATTGAAACAGTAGCAAGTGATTATCAGAGAAAAAGTACTTCAGAGTCTCAGCCTTTAGAAGCATGAGATATTATGGACGGTGGGAGTAAGGTGGAGACTTAAAAGAGAAATTGGTTGTAGGTCTCTTTAGGTTACAATTCTCTTTATAGAGCTATTAATCCTGCACCTCTGAAGAAGCAAAGCTTTCTCTAATAAAAGATTAAATGTATTTATGAGCTTGTATGTATGAAAGTTGATGGAGACCTTGTCTACTATAGAAAATTCATGAAAATATTTTATAAGCCTATTTCTTTTAGAAAACTTAGAGAAATTTCAGGAGATTGATATAAAAATGCAACTCAATGAAAAGAAATTGTGTTCTCTAGGAGGGAGCCACATTATGTAATCTTGCTGTATAGTCTTCTGATGCATTAATTCACTCCAAACATAAGGTTTAAAATGTATAGACAGGAATAGATCGCCTACATCAGAAAATTTTCCTGTCTATTATTTCTTTAAGGTAAGCTTTTAATATAAAGCATGTACATTTAAAGTGCATTTGTCCATTGACTACTACCTTTCAAAGTCTTACCTATCCATTGCAACCTGGTTTAATCTATTTATTGAGTCAGAGATTTGCATGACAATTTCTAGAAGTGTCTGTTTACTGTATTATTACTTTTTGGCTTGTCAGTAGATCAAATCTGGCACAAAATGAGTAGCAATATCTGTAAGTAATGATTGCCTTTGTTTATTAAAGTTATCTAAATAGGCAATGTGGTATATCTTTTAAAAATCTGGACTATGATAAAAAGCCCTGAGTTGGAATCATAGCTTTGTTACTAACTTCGTAACTTGCATGCATGATCTTGAAAATCATTCAATTTTTATTTATTTAAGTTGGATTAAAAATTATTAATCACCGACCATCCTGACCAACATGGTGAGACCCCGTCTCTACTAAAACTACAAAAAAATTAGCTGCGCATGGTGGTGCATGCCTATAATCCTAGCTACTTGGGGAGGCTGAGGTAGAAGAATTGCTTAAACCAGGGAGGCAGAAGCTGCAGTGAGCCGAGATTGTGCCACTGCACTCCAGCCTGGACAACAAGAGTGAAACTCCGTCTCAAAATAAATAAATATAAATTTAATAAAAATCAGTTAATTAAATTATTAATCACCTAGTATAGCAAGGCTTATAAGGTAATCATTAAGAGCATTAATAGCTGTACATTCTTTAATTCGAACATTTCTCTAATTTTGGGGGGTGTCTGTTTACAAATGAGAAAATTTTCGCACATGGGTGGCACACCATATCGTAACCTTCTGGCACTCAATCCTCTAACGTATTTAAATTAAAAATTCAATTCCAAAATCAGTTACTGTTAAGCTTTATAAGGTGTTTTGGTTTGTTTTTCTTTCAAAAAAAAATAGGAGAGATGAAGATGGCTGTTTTAGTTTAAACTAATCTGTGTGTGTACTTTTACTCTTACCTGTGACTATGTGACTAATTATAATTTTATATTTTTTACCTTGATAGATATCACGTGCATTGATGTTTCCTTATGCCTAAGATATTTTTTGTTACAAAATATAATTCTGAAAGTTATTTTGGGGTTTATAGCATACTTCAATGAGTCATTTAAGTGGTTGTGGAAAAGTTGGTAACAATAACATAAACCCACAGAGGTTAATTCACTTATTTGTCTCAGGCTATGTCAGCCATTTAGACTCTGCAGATGGGGTTTAAACTAGCATTGGCTTTCAGTTCAGAAATAAAATTATGGCTCTTTGAGCCAGAAAAAGACATATGAATAGGGCAGTATAAGGGAAATAAGATTTGACGAAACAGGCTCTTAGGAAAGATAAAAGATGTGCTAGATATTGGAGCAATGTGACTTTCAAAGGGTTTTAGCTCACACTTAAATTTATAACAATAAGAAATTGAGCTTCACTCATGGGTAGAAGTAACCTGGTAAATAAGCAGCCAGCCATCAACTGAGGGTAAGAACAAATGGGCCAGGGGAAAGAGTAGACCTTTCAGGGCCAAGATCTAAAAGGTTTCTAAGAAACATGAATGTGCCAAAAACTATTTAGGGTAGGATATTCTGAATCTTAGGAGAGAAATCTCTGGCAGCAAAACAGAAGTTTGGTGAAACAGGGATGGTGGTAGAACTTTCTAGGGTAGAAGCCATGGGGGCATCTAGGAGGGGAAAGGGAAGAACCATTAGAAAAAGACTAAGTAGTTGAAACCTAATATTGATTGTATATTAGCCTAGTGTGTTAGGTATTGTGCTAGGCATTTATAAGCATTATTTTCCTTAATTATAAAACAACATAGTAAGCATTATCTTTGTTTTACATTTAGGAAACTAAGTTGACAGTCGTTAAGGGATTTGCCCCAAAGCATATAGTTGATAAATGTCAGAGACATGATTCAGATGGTTTAAATTCAAAGCTTTTCACTATACTTTTCTGTTACTGAGGTGTATTGGATTCTTTCAGCCTATGGGAACAAAGAAAGGAGACACAAATGCCCTGGGCCTGACCAGACAGAAAACCAGTGAGGTTCCGCAGTAGAGAACTTAATGGTTTTATACTATACATTTTGTTGTAGAAACAATGACACTAGTCAAAATATGCTGTATGAACTTGAGAATTAGGTAAAGCTGTATTTTAGGGACAGTATTCCAGAAAAATATCAATTATATCCATAAAGGTGTGTCACTGATAAATCTCCTTAGATTGCCTGCAGTTGGTATCTGCCCTTCAGAGCTGTCTGCTTTGCTAGCATTCTCAAATTTTGAAAGTGTCTTGGAGCCTGGAAAGGAAATCCTTTTCAGTGTACACACTAATACTTTGCTGATGTCAGGATGATCTGAGAGAAGTCACCTTTACTTTGAATGATACTTAATATCAGTTTGAAAGAGCAGCACTGTGTTTTCATGTTGAAATATCTGATAGGTAATATCAGAGGGAGAAATTAGAGAAAGAAACTGGACAAACTGTTCTTAGAGTCTTCTAAATTAAGCTTTCATAATGCTATTTCATTAGTAGGTTTAACATTAATTTGAAATTTAGACCACAGTAAAGACAGAAATTGCATGCCAGAATTCACCAGAAATTTTCTTTAAATTATTCACACCTCAGTTGCTGTTTGTCTATTAACAGAATTTTCTACAGTTATAGCCTTTCAGGTTTGCTTTTGACTCCAGTGATATTCAATTAAATCTGGAAAAGATTTTCATTCTAATGCAAACTTGAAACTAATAAAAATTTTAAAAATATAAACAGGAAAAAATAAGCACTGTGTATTAATACAATGCTGAATATGTTAATTAAACATGATTTAATTACAGAAAAAGCACAGACTACTTATGTTACATAGGAGATATGTGACTTTGAACAAAATCCCTAAATTCTCTTTTTTTAATTTTTTTTTTTTTTTTTTTTTTGAGATGGAGCCTCGCTCTGTCGCCCAGCCTGGAGTGTAGTGGCGCGATCTCGGCTCACTGCAAGCTCCGCCTCCCTGGTTCATGCCATTCTCCTGCCTCAGCCTCCCGAGTAGCTGGGACTACAGGCGCCCGCCACCACTCCCGGCTAATTTTTTTGTATTTTTAGTAGAGAAGGGGTTTCACCATGTTCGCCAGGATGGTCTCGATCTCCTCTCGTGATCCGCCCGCCTCAGCCTCCCAAAGTGCTGGGATTACAGGCTTGAGCCACCACGCCAGGCCTTAAATTTTTATTTTATTTTAAGTTCTGGGATACATGTGCAGGTCATGCAGATTTTTTACATAGGTAAACGTGTGTCATGATGGTTTACTGCACCTATCAACCAATCACCTAGGTATTAAGCCTTTCATGAATTAACTATTTTTTCTGATGTTCTCCCTCCCCCTTTCCCTCCCCAACAAGCCCCAGTATGTGTTGTTCCCCTCCCTGTGTCCATATGTTCTCATTGTTCAGCTCCCACTTATAAGTCAGAATATGCAGTGCTTGATTTTCTGTTCCTGCATTAGTTTGCTGAGGATAATGGCTTCCAGCTCCATCCACGCCCTGACAAAGGACATGATTTCATTCCTTTTTATGGCCGCATAGTATTCCATGGTGTATAGTACCACATTTTATTTAGTCTATCATTGATGAGCATTTGGGTTGATTCCATTTCTTTGCTATTGTGAATAGTGCTAAAGTGAACATATGTCTTCATGTATCTTTATAGTAGAATGATTTATATTCCTTTGAGTATATACCCAGTAATGGCATTGCTGGGTCAAATGGTATTTCTGGTTCTAGGTCTTTGAGGAATTGCCATACTGTCTTTCACAATGGTTGAACCAATTTACATTCCCATCAAGTGTAAAAGCATTCCTATTTCTTCACAGCCTTGCCAGCATCTGTTGTTTTTTGACATTTTAATAATCACCATTCTGACTGGCATGAGATGGTATCTCATTGTAGTTTTGATTTGCATTTTTCTAATGATCAGTGATGTTGAGCTTTTATTCTTATGTTTGTTGGCTGTATAAATGTCTTCTTTTGAGAAGTGTCTGTTCATGTTCTTTGCCCACTTTTTAATAGTTTTTTTTTTTGTAAATTTGTTAAAGTTCCTTGTAGGTACTGGATATTAGACCTTTTTCAGATGGGTAGATTGCAAAAAATTTATCCTATTCTGTAGGTTGTCTCTTCACATTATTGATAGCTTCTTTTGCTGTGCAGAAGTACTTCAGTTTAATTAGATCTTATTTGTCAATTTTTGCTTTTTTGGCAATTGCTTTTAACATTTTCATAATGAAATCTTTGCCCATGACTATGTCCTGAATGGTATTGCCTGGATTTTCTTCTAGGGTTTTTATAATTTTGAGTTTTACATTTAAGTCTTCAATCCATCTTGAGTTAATTTTTCTGTAAGATGTAAGGAAGGGGTCCAGTTTCAACTTTCTGCATATGGCTAGCCAATTTTCCCAGCACCTTTTATTAAATAGGAATCTTTCCCCATTGCTTGTTTTTGTCATGTTTGTCAATGATCAGATGGTTGTAAATGTGTGGTCTTATTTTTGAGATCTCTATTCTTTTCCATTGGCCTATGTGTCTGTTTTAGTACCAGTACCATGCTGTTTTGGTGACTGTAGCCTTGTAGTTTAGTTTGAAGTCAGGTAGCATGATGCCTCCAGCTTTGCTCTTTTGGCTTAGGATTGTGTTGACTATACAAGCTCTTTTGTGGTTCTATATGAATTGTAAAGTAGTTTTTTTCTATTTATATGAAGGCTGTCAATGGTAGTTTGATGGGAATAGCATTGAATCTATAAATTACTTTGGGCATTATGGTCATTTTCATGATATTGATTCTTCCTATCCATGAGCATGAAATGTTTTTCCATTTGTTTGTGTCCTCTCTGATTTCCTTGAGCAGTGGTTTGTAGTTCTCCTTGAAGAGGTCCTTCACATCCTCTGTTAGCTGTATTCTTAGGTATTTTATTCTCTTTGCAGCAATTGTGAAGGGGAGTTCATTCATGATTTGACTCTTGGCTTGTCTATTGTTGGTGTATAGGCATGCTTGTGATTTTTGCACATTGATTTTGTATCCTGAGACTGCTGAAGTTGCTTATCAGCTTACGAAGCTGGGCTGAGACAGTGGGGTTTTCTAGATATAGGATCATGTCATCTGCAAACAGAGACAGTTTGACGTCCTCTCTTCTTATTTGAATACCCTTTATTTCTTTCTCTTGCCTGATTTCCCTGTACAGAACTTCCAATAATATGTTGAATAGGAGTGGTGAGAAAGGACATCCTTGTCTTGTGCCAGTTTTCAAGGGGAATGCTTCCAGCTTTTGCCCATTCAGTATGATATTGGCTGTGGGTGTGCCATAAATGGTTCTTATTATTTTGAGGCATGTTTCATCAACACCTACTTTATTGAGAGTGTGTAACATGAAGGGATGTTGATTTTTATCGAAGACCTTTTCTGCATCTCTTGAATAATCATGTGGTTTTGCCTTTAGTTCTGTTTATGTGATAAGTTCCATTTATTGATTTGCATATGTTGAACCAATCTTGCATCCTGGAGATGATGCTGACTTGATCGTGGTGGATAAGCTTTTTGATGTGCTGCTGGATTCAGTTTACCAGTATTTTATTGAGAATTTTTGCATCAGGGATATTGGCCTGAAGTTTTCTTTTTTTCATGTATCTCTGCCAGGTTTTGGTATCAGGATGATGCTAGCCTCATAAAATGAGTTAGGAAGAAATCTCTCCTTTTCAGTAGTTTGGAATAGTTTCAGAAGCAATGGTACCAGCTCCTCTTTGTACCACTGGTAGAATTTAGCTGTAAATCCTTCTGGTCTTTGGCTTTTTTTTTTGTTTGGTAGGCTATTTATTACTGCCTCAATCAGAACTTGTTATTGGACTATTCAGGGATTCAACTTCTTCCTGGCTCAGTCTTGGGAGAGTGTAGGTTTCCAGGAATTTATCCATTTCCTCTAGATTTTCTAGTTCACTTGCATAGAAGTATTTGTAGTATTCTCTAATTGTTGTTTGTATTTTTGTGGGGTCAGTGGTGTTAACCCCTTTATCATAAAATTCCTAAATTATTTAAGATTCAGTTTCCTCAGCTGTAATAGTGGATCACCAAACAAAGATTTTCATGAGTATTAAGTGAGATATGGCCACAAAATGGCCTTAAGTCATGGCAAATTTTCATAAATGTTAAATTTTCCTTTTATATTACTTACTTCCATCATTGAATCAAGGAGTGAGATGGGTGGAATAGAAGATAATTATATTCTTATATGCCTTCAGATACTGAGCATAGATCACTGTGTGTATCTAATCTTCATACCTACCTTGGAAACTCTGGTGTATCAAAGGAGCACCTGAAGCACTATATCAGAAAGCACCCTGGGTCTCCAGAAAAGCAGGGAACTCACTCATTAGTAGGAGCAAACAAAAGATAATATTCCTAGCTTTAAAGCACTGGTTGATGTCTAGTAAGTAAGAATACCTTTCACGGAATCATTGGATGTTCTTAAATGTCCTCTTCCTTAACTGTTAGAAAACTGTTTCTAATTTCCTTTTCTTAGTGGCCATAAACGGGAAAGAACCAGAATACCTATGGAGGGCCTAAAAGAGGTACAGTCCCTGTGGCCAAATCATTGTTAAAGAAGTAGGAGAAAGTTAGGTAATTATGAGAGTCTGTACTCCAATGATCAAATGCAGAGGTTGCTAACAGATGGACTGCAGCCACACCTGGCTTCCAAACAAGTTTTTCTTGTTCCATGTAAGTGCCGAAAAATACCAGTTAAATGTAAGGCTTATAGCTATAAAGATACAATATTTCTCTAACTGTATTCTGTAGAACTTGTTTCTCAGGATAAATTAATATTTTTTTCTGAGAAAATCAAACTATCCCATTGTTTAAAAAGCTTTAGGGAAGAATTAATGTGATCCCACTATCTCGTAGATTTAAAACATATAATCATTTAATTAAAGAATCCAATAATTATTATAGTAAAAATATCTTTAACTGTTTCCAAATTATGTCTAATACTGAGATCCTTTTCAAGGAAAAATTGATAACATGGATGCCACACAATTTGGGAAAATATCAGCTGATAATTTGGAGATGGACTTAGGTGATAGCAGGGGAATAGGAGAAGAGGACACAGGCAACCTGAAGGTGCAGGGGCAGAAGCATCTGTTCAGATGGCAGCAACTAAAGTAGTGAAGATGAATAAAACACTATAAGCATCAGTAATAGTGGCAGTATAAGTGATAGTAGAAACTGTATAAAGGGAGAATTCTGGGGGTTTTACCATCCCAGGAATGCAACTGAGTGGGGACTTGGTAACAAGTGACACTGTGATTGCCACCCAGAGCTATGATTGCTCTCTAGGCTTATATGCTCCCAGAAAATGATGCTCACTCTAATGTTTGACGCTGTCACCATATTCAAGGAAGGCAGAATAACATTTTACATTTTACATTTGTAAAATGGGGCTATAATACATGAAAGCATCTTAGATCAGTGTCTATTATATGAATATCCTTCAGGGAAAGTTAAATATTGTCATTCTTAATATTGTTATTATTTTTGGTACTATTTGTGATGATTAATATTAAGTGTCAGCTTGATTAGATTGGAAGTTGCCTAGATGGCTAGTAAAGTATTGTTTCTGGATGTGTCTGTGAGGGTGTTGCCAGAGAAGACTGACATTTGAGCCAGTAGACTGGGATAGGAAGACCCACCCTCAATGTGAGTGGACACCATCCAATCAGCTGCTAGCATGGCTAGAACAAAGCAGGCAGAAGATGAGATAACCTTGCTTGCCGAGTTTTTTGGCTTCCTTCTTTTTCCTGTGCTGGATGCTCCTCCTGCCCTTGGATATAAGACTCCAGGTTCTTTGGCCTTTGGACTCTGGGAATTGCACCAGTGGCTTTCCAGGGCTTCTTGGGCCTTTGGCCACAGACTGAAGGATGCACTGTCAGCTTCCCTGGTTTTGCCACAGAATAAAAGCGGCACTATGGGCCTCCCTCGTTTTGAGGGCTTCAGACTCAGACTGAGCCACTACCGGCTTCTTTCTTCCCCAGATTGTGGGACTTTGCTGGCTAATCATGTGAGCCAAGTCTCCCTAATAAACTTTATTTTATATATACATATATCCTATTAGTTCTGTCCCTCTGTAGAACCCTGATTGATACACTGTAATTTCAAGGGGTGCCTATGTTCTCAAACAAAAAATCAAAAAACAACACAACAGTGGCCAGGAAGAGCAATCATAAACTCCCTTGACAAAATTTTATTTTGTAATTAATAACACATTTTATCACAAAATTTATTTTGATCTTGGCCTCCAGAATTATTTGTTGTCATTCTTAATTTTAAGCTAGCCCTGTCTTGTAAAACTGTAGATAAGTAGGTCAGCTTTAAAAAATCATTGTTAAATACCACCAGAAGAGGGTGGCACATTTTCTCCTGGCTATGTGCACTTCTATGCTTCTTCTATATACTGCAAATTGACCTTATCTTGTCAATTAACTATTCAAGGTAGATTTCTAATGCTCATGGGAAACATATTCTGTATAGTGTTATATGACAATGAATAACAGTCTACTGCAAAATTGTAATGTAGCTACTTATCATTAAGTTGGAGGGTAATAACAAATAATATAAAGTCAGTAGTTATTCTACCACATTACAGACTGCACATTTAGTTTCTTTGCTTAACCAGTTCCATTTATACATTTCCTTAACTATCTCCCATAAGAGACTATAGCAGAAAGGTTTTGAAAACTCATGTAAATTAGTAATGCTAGATCACTTTTATATGGTAAGTTATTTGAAGTATTCCGTTTCTGAAGTCTTCTTGCATTGGTTGATTTGCTTCTAAATGCATCACTCCACGGGGGTAAATGGAAATTGAAAACTCATTGTGTTATTTTCTGGATGTCATTACACAATCTGAGAGAAACTGCCAATATGACAGCAGTATCCCCATGAGAACAGGAAAAAACATCCATTTGCTTCATGACCAATATTATAGTGATCCTGTGGGAACTCCTTTTTGAAGTTTTAACAATAATAGCTAATTTTATTTGCACTTTCATTTTACTAAGCACTTTACATACATTATTTAATATTTAAATAGCCTTAGGATGCCATGTAAATCATCCTTCACTGGTCTTTTTATTTCTTATTTTATACTCCATTCACAAAAAAGTCTTGTCAATTCTAATTCCCAAATATATCCTTTATCCATCTAATTCTCTCAGTCTCCCTGTACCACTTTAGTTGAAGCCATCATAATGTATCACTTGAATTACAAGAATAGCCATCATTTCCTTCAAGTGATTTTTCCTAAGATGAGCAAAATTCACCTTTGTTTGATATCAGAAGCCCAGGAGAGTTAGGTAATATGAAAGATAACAAACATGTTATCTAATTCTGTCCTCAGTATTAATGTAGACCAGCTTTGGCACAACTTTCTCTATAATATGAGCAATCCTTTGTTTTCCATTGGTTATTCCAACAAATAGCTTCCATTTCGATATGAAGCTGTCTATAAACAGAGCTCAAATATTTTAGGTATAAAAGAAGACAAGAAATCTGTTGTTTAAATATGCTTCACCACCCAGGGAAAAAAAAAACTGATTACAATTGATTCATTGCCACTGTCACAAACTTATTTGCTGATAGGGACCATTAAGTTTTGATAGTTTTATAAGCATTCTGCACTAACACCTATGCTAATGTGTTTCTACTCTATCTATTCTTCACTGTTTCTGTTACATAGATCAAAATGTACAAGTGTAGCACAAAATGATAATGCCAGTAATCTCTGAGACCAACAAGAACAGATAATCCATAAAGGAAAAATTATCTTTTATGGAATAAGAAGATTCCTTTTTTATTTATTTCTTTTGTTGTTGTTGTTTATTTTATTTTCTTGTTCAAAACCCCTGCTAAGCACATCTGAGTATGGGCTCTTTTTGAAGTTAATGGGAATTGTAGGCTTGGTTTAGCTCCACAGGGTATAAAGCAAGATGAAAATCAGAGTCCTAGTCTCATAGCAGAAAACATCATAACAACCCTTGCTGTGCAATTATTAAGTACTGCTTTCTTTTTTGTTATTTATTTTGAAGCGATGACACAAACAGTCAAGGAAGAAGATTTTGTGACCAGCTGCTTTTCAACATGGAGTCTACTGGAAGAAACAGATGTAGAATCTGTCAGTGAATGAAAGGACACAAGATTGGTTCAAGTTAATCCACATTTCACTGCAGGTTTTCAAGCTGGAATTAGATAATATATTTGAATTATTAGAGAAATTAAATCATGTAACATGACTTGTAATGCTCAGTGTTTTACTACCTGTATTTATTTAATTCTTTCATATGTTTTTGCCTTTACTACCTCTTTTAAATTCTAGGCACTTTATGTCAAGGAATCTGAGGGTTTTTTTTAACTGTCAATTATTTGTTTTATTTTAAAATATTTAATAATTAACAAAAACTGTATTCAAGGTATGCAATGTGATGATTTGATATATGTATACATTATATAGTAATTACCACAGTTAAATTAACCAATACATTTATCACCTCTTTCAATTTTATGTATTCCAAGTGTGCGTGAGGACAGAAACAAGTCCCTAGTTAATGCCTCACCTAATCTTCTAAGAGGTCACCTGTATCCTTTACAACTCTCCTCAAAATCCCTTAAGTCTTCCATCTCTATCTCCCCCTCTTTTGCCATAGGATCTCTCCTGCTACTTCACAAAAGAAATAGAGACATCCAAGTACAAATTTCTCTCTCTCTTTCTCTCTCTGACCCCATTCCCCTCCACTTTTCTCTTCTTCTCCTTTGTTGCTTCTTCCTCCACCTGCATGCTGCATAACATGGAGACCTTTTTAGTCTTTTTGAGAATTAGAACACAGTATTTGACACTATAATGGACCTGGCTTCATCCAGAAGTAGCTAATAGTTTTTTCATGTAGAAAGTCCAACTGAAGGGCTGAGAGTGTTGCTGCTGAGGTAGCTGAGTAATTGTTTATCATGAAATACCATAAGTCTGTTTTTATTACTGAACCTTGCAGGGAAAGGGGCAAAAAGTCCCTCTTGGGATGGGCACGGTGGCTCACGCCTGTAATCCCAGCACTTTGGGAGGTCGAGGCGGCTGGATCACGAGGTCAGGAGATCCAGACCACCCTGGCTAACACGGTGAAACCCCGTCTCTACTAAAAATACAAAAAATTAGCCGGGCGTGGTGGCCTGTAGTCCCAGCTACTGGGAAGGCTGAGGCAGGAGAATGGCATAAACCGAGGAGGTGGAGGTTGCAGTGAGCCAAGATGGCACCGCTGCACTCTGGCCTGAGCGACAGTGAGACTCCAACTCAAAAAAAAAAAAAAAAAAAAAGACTGGGCACGGTGGCTCACGCCTGTAATCCCAGCACTTTGGGAGGTCGAGATGGGTGGATCACGAGGTCAGGAGATCGAGACCATCCTGGTTAACAAGGTGAAACCCCGACTCTACTAAAAATACAAAAAAAATTAGCCGGGCATGGTGGCAGGCGCCTGTAGTCCCAGCTCCTTGGGAGGCTGAGGCGGGAGAAAGGCTTGAATTGGGAGGCAGAGCTTGCAGTGAGAGGAGATCGCACCACTGCACTCCAGCCTGGGCGACAGAGGGAGACTCCTTATCGGAAAAAAAAAAAAAAAAAAAAAAAAAAAGTCCCTCTTACCATTTCCCAGAAGTGTATTTTAATTTGAAGATATAGTTCCTAGGCACTTTATAAAGTGATATTTACTTCACTAATACATGATATTCAATATTGGACTTTCCAGACAGAAAAAGAAATTTTATTTTAATTTTTTTATTATTTACCATGTTTTCACTAGCATTCCTTTTTTTTTTTTCTCAAACTGGCATGTAACCTGTGAAAGTGATTTTTATGCTTCTTTCCTGATAAAAGCCAGCATGTTTTATCTTCTAAAAGTATATGATTTGGACTTTCAAAGGGTAAAATGATACAAGTTAAACGGCAACTTTCACCTCAGAACTAATGATAGGTGTAGTAGACAAAAGAAAGCAAAAGACTTCAGAGGAGGGTTTAGGCCACAGAATATTAGAGCTAGAAAGGAATTTAGAGATAATTTAATACAAACCCCTCATTTTGCAGAGGAAGACACCTCTGAAACTTGAGGTTCTATAGAATGCTGAGAAAATAAAGTGCATTGTAGGTAGGATCAAGCTTTCACTTCCCCTTTCATTGCCTTTTACCCATCACATGAGTCCCAAAACAAAATTATTGTGAAAGAAGTAAATAAATGTGAATTGTCAATTCTTATTAAATTAAAGCTTAAAAAATCATTAAAAAGATACCAAATTGTGCCTTAATTGTACTTCTGATATTAATATTTAAATAATCAGCTTTTGAAAACATTAATGACACATATTTAAAATATACAAATACTAAGAATCAGGAAAAAAATAGTACCTAACATTGAGTTATTTAAAAAAAAATTAAAATAGGACCTAGGCTGTATCAGAGAGGTTTTTGTTGTGTGGTTGTGTTTTTGGCTTTTTTTCTCTTGCTATAAACTCCACTCAAAAATGAGTTGTCTGATCTATAAAATATGATATATGACTTAAAATAGCTAAAATAGTAGAAATTAATCACATTTAAACCTCTCAGATGCTATAACAATGATGAATGGTAACCTACAGAGTGCTGCTGAATCATCCAGCATTTTATCTGTGATACTGTAGGTCTCATCTACAGATACACTGATCTTCACTGTGCCCCTGACAGATTTGGTTATCTAATTTCAGCTTTTGAACATTCAGCTTGGTATTTCAAAGTCATTGCTTATTTTTTAAAAGCATATACCAAGCTTGCCAACAATTCTGTTGATTACTCTTCGGTCACCTTTCTTGTCTCATGAATCACAGGCACGAGACATGTCTCATGAATCTTAGTCATATTGTGAATAAAATAAACCATTAATTTCAAGTGACGGAAATGAAGAGATGTTTTTGTGGAAGTGTTAAAAGCTGCAATAGAATGTGTGATTATATTGATTCATTCATTTATTTATTCATTCAAAAACTATCTACTATTTATTAGGACAGTAATCTAGGCATTGAGGATATAGTGGTGAGCAAAACAGATACAGGCCCAGTACACTAGTATGTACATTCTAGCTGGCACAGGAAATACAGCAGTCTTGCCTTAGGGATGAAGCACTGTAGGCAGAGAAGTAAAATACAGGAAAGAGTCATGTGTGATGGAGTTTGGTTTAAGATTTTTGGTGGCTCAGAACGGGCCACTCAGTACCCCTTGGGTGACAAAGATGGGGATAAATGAAGATTGTATCTTTCTTTTGTGAAACCACTGTTTTTACATTGTGAGCTCCTACTCACCTTTCAAAATCTGGCTCTAATATCTCCTTTTTTAGGAAGCCATTTTAAGTAAGCATTTCAGACAGCAGATAGGAAAGGCATGTAAGAAGGTATTATCAGATTTTACTTAGATTCCAGACATTTTCCTGACTCCTCCCCATCTTGTGCCCAATCGGCTTCCTAATATCTATTCAGAATGACTCAACTCTGTAGTCTTCTTGGAGATTGTGTCTCCACACTACTGACTCCAGATACCTTCAAAAATGGTAGTTACTAGCTAGACTAATGCAGAAATAAAGATAGAAGATCCAAATAAACACTATCAGAAATGACAAAGGGGACAATACCAATGACCCCATAGTGAGACAAAAAACCCTGAGACTATATGAATACCTTTATCAGATAAATTGAAAAAACATAGAAGAAATGGATAAATACCTAGAAACATACAATCTCCAAAGAAAAAAACAGAGGAAGTGGAATCCTTGTACAGAATGATAATTAGTTCCAAAATTGAATAAGTAATAAAAAACCTAACAACCAGAAAAAGCCTAGGATTAGATGGACTTATAGCTGAATTCTATCAGATATATAAAGAGGAGCTGGCACATTCCTACTGAAACTATTCCAAAACATTGAAGAGGAACTCCTCCTTACATCATTCTATGAGGTCAGCATCATCCTGATACCAAAACCCGGCAGAGACAGAACAAAAAAAAAAAAAAAAAGAAAATATCAGGCCAATATCCTTGATGAACATACATGCAAATATCCTCAACAAAATACTAGCCAACCATATCCAGCAGAACATACAAAAGCTAATTCACCACAATAAATTAGGCTTCATCCCTGGGATGGAAGATGAATTAAACATATGCAAATCAATCAATGTAGTTTATCACAAAAACAGACCTTAAAACAAAATCTACATGAGCATCTCAGTAGTCACAGAAAAGACTTTCAATAAAATTCAACATTCCTTCATGTTAAAGCCCTCAACAAACTAGGTATTGAAGGAACATACCTCAAAATAATATGAGCCATCTATGACACACTCACAGCCAACATCGTACTGAATGGACGAAAGCTGGAAGCATTCATCTCAAGACTCAAAACAAGACAAGAATGCTCACTATCACCACTCCTATTCAACAGAGGACTGGAAGTCCTTGCTAGAGCAATCAGGCAGAACAAAGAAACAAAAGGCTTGCAAATAGGAAGAGAAGAAGTCAAACTATGCATGTTTTCAGATGACATGGTCGATACCTAGAAAACCCCATAGTCTCTGCCCAAAGGCTCCTTGATTTGATAAATAACCTTAGCAAAGTTTCAGGATACAAAATCAATGTACACTAATCAGTAATATTTCTATACACCAATAAAGTCCAAGTTGAGAGCCAAATCAAGAACACAATCCCATTCATAATAGCCACACAAAGAATAAAATACCTAGGAATACAGATAAGCAGAGAGGTGAAAGATCTCTATAAGAAGAATGATAAAACACTCCTCAAAAAAATCAGATGATGCAAACAAATGGAAAATTTTTCCATACTTACGGATAGCAAGAATCAATATTGTTAAAATGGCCACACTTCCAAAAGCAATCTACAGATTCAATGCTATTCCTATCGAACTAACAATGACATTCCTCACAGAATTAGGAAAACTAATTTAGAATTCATATGGAACCAAAAAAGAACCCAAATAGCCAAGGCAATCCTAAGCAAAATAAACAAAGCTGGAGGCATCACGTTACCCAACTTCAAACTACACTACGAGGCAACAGTAATTAAAAAAAAAAACATGATATTGGCACAAAAACAGGCACATAGACCAACGGAACAGAAAAGGGAGCCCAGAAATATTGCTGCATACCTAAAGTCATCTGATCTTTGACAAAGTCAACAAAAACAAGCAATGGGGATAAGAATCCTTATTCAATAAATGGTGCTGGGATAACTGGTTTATCACATACAGAAGACTGAAACTGGAGCCCTTCCTTTCAGTATATACAAAAGTCAACTCAAGATCTATTTAAGACTTAAATGTAAAACTTTAAACTATAGCAATTCTAGAAGAAAACCTAGACAATGCTATCTGGACATATAACCTGGCAAATATTTCATGACAAAGACACCAAAAGCAGTTGTAAGAAAAGCAAAAATTGACAAATGGAATCTAGTTAAACTTAAGAGCTTCTGCCCATCAAAAGAAACTATCAACTGAGTAAACAGACAATCTACAGTATGGGAGAAACTATTTGCAAACTATGGATCTGACAAAGTCTGATATTCAAACTCTATAAGGAACTTGAACAAATTAACTAGAAAAAAGCAAACAAGCCCATTAAAAAGATGAGTAAAGACAATAGTAGACACTTTTTAAAAGAAGACATATATGTGAACAGCAACTATATGAAAAAAGTGCTTAACATCTCTAATCATTAGAGAAATGCAAATCAAAACCATGAGATACCATCTCACACCAGTGAGGAAAGCTAGTATTAAAAAGTCTAAAAATAACAGAAGCTAGAGAAGTTGGGGGGAAAAAGGGATGCTTATACACTGTTGATGGGAGTGTAAATTATTTCAGACCTTTTGGAAGACAGTGTGGTGATTTCTCAAATACCTAAAAACAGAACTCCCATTTCACCCAGCAATCTCATTACTGGATATATACTCAAAGGAATAAAATTAATTCTATCATAATGGCACATGCATGCATATGTTCATTGCAGCACTAATCACAAAAGCAAAGAAATAGAATCATCTCAAATGTCCATCAATGGTAGACTGGATTTTAAAAGTGTGGTAAATATATACCATTGAATACTATGTAGCCAAAAGGGAATGAGATTATGTCCTTTGCAGCAACATTAATGGTGTTGGAGGCCATTATGCTAAGTGAACTAATGCAGAAACAGAAAACCAAATACCACATGTTCTCACTTATATGTGGTAGCTACATACTGGAACATATCTCAAAATAATAAGAGCTATTTATGACAAACCCACAGCCAATATCAGACTGAATGGGCAAAAGCCAGAAGCATTCCCTTTGAAAATGAGCACAGGACAAGGATGCCCTCTCTCACCACTCCTATTCAACATTCTATTGGAAGCTCTGGCCAGGGCAATCAGGCAAAAGAAAGAAATAAAGGGTATTCAAATAGGAAGAGAGGGAGTCAAATTGTCTCTGTTTGCAGATGACATCATTCAATATTTAGAAAACCCCATCATATCAGCCCTGCTGTGGCTCTGACTATTATATTTTATCAAGTTGGTATCAGCCTCCAAGACAAGCAGATGGAGGTTCATGATTGTTTCCCTTTGGGGTTTCAGTCCAAGCTGCTCTATTTGATATCTTTTCCTTTGGGATTTTTGCTTGAAGATACTGTGCTTGATTTTCAGAAATGAAGTCCTCAGCACCAGATATTTTAATCTAAGAAAACTCTTGGAATATCAGGAGTATTTGACATATTTTATCACGGTCTCCCACTTGAAACACTTTTTCCACATTGCTGCCAAAATGCTACGCTTTCTGATTTTGAATCTATATCAATGCCTGCTCTATCTCAGCTACCTTTTGTACTATATCTTCTGGACACTTCTTTTCATATTGTCAATCAACATCTGAAGGTAAATTTCACAAATGGCACTTGGAATTTTCTGAATGGGATAGAAAATTCATTTATGAAACTTAACAATTTTATTCGAGTTCATATGACAGTCCTTTTATTCCAAGAGGTTATCTCTGGCAAAAGCACCAAAAGAAGTTCAACAATTTTAACATTATATCTGTTATTTAGTTATTTAATATCTTATATTATATGTCCCATTACAGATATGTTTATCCATGATTACATAAAAATAATTTTCTTTTTCATAAATCTGTGTTTTATTTCTTCATTTCCCTTCCTGAGCATTCTGAAAGTTTGCTATCTGCTATTTTAAGTAATATTTTTGTTTGACCACTTAATTATTCTCTACCTTTAGTTTCTTTCTTTATTTACCTTAAAAAAAGTTACTAAAGGAGCACATGCTTGTTGTATCAAGTGAAATTGCATAGAGATTTATAAAGTGATGTAAATAGTCCCCTCTTTCTTCTCTAAATCCATCTCCACCTCCCAATCCCACACTTTGATGTAGTAACCAATATTAAAAATGGAATATTATATACAATATTAACAGTTAAGTGTATACATAAACTTTATAAGGATAATATTTTTTGAAATAACTCCTATTGTGCTTCTCTTTTCAGTAGCCCATTATTTTTCCATCATCATTGCCAATGGGAAGAAAAAGGCTAAATGCAGCCGAGGGAAGAAAGAAAATAAGATGTTTAAGAAGGTCATCACAGTCAGAGAGAGAAACTAATTGATGCCAACTATAGTTCCTAAAGGAAAATCTTGGATAGTACACAAAGGTAGGGATAAGTGAGAGAAGATCCTCCTGATTTCTCCATACAGACAAGTTTGGCATGGCAGCGATTTCTATGTTTCCCATGCGCCTAAATTTGACTCTAGAAGAAGAGTGGCACAGAGATTCCAGCCCCTTTACTTTCCTTACTCCCTTTAAGAAGTGACTTTGTAGGACAACCTTGCCCTATAAGAAGGCTTTGAGGTGAATATCTTACTCGTGATGAAGTGGGGCGGTAGACATGCTTCTGTAGCCTCCCTGATATTGCGACTCTGTGGGGAGGGTGTGGAGCTGGATACCCAACGTTATTACCAGTGCCCATGATTGCAACATCAGTGACGTATCACCAGTGCCTAAAACAAACCTGCCTGGGAATAGTAACAGAACAAATCTCGAGATTTATTATTTATGCATATCAACAGCTGATGGCATTTTGATGCCCAGAGAGAAAATTAAGTCAATGAAGTGTATTACGTCAGAAACCTGTGAAGACTTGGAAGATAGGGTGTATACACATGTACCCCCTCCTCCATCACCATGAGGACATGTAAACTTTTGTCAACACACAGATGCTGGCACTGCAAGAAAGACAGAATTCTGAAAGTGTCAACATTTATTGTAAAGTGTAACCTAAAATGCCAGTTCTTCATGTTCATGTAAGAACATGGGAAAATCACTTAAATGCTGTTTCCCTCAGTTTCTTTGAGTATAAAAGGAGTTATAACAGTACCTGTCTCATAAGATTACTATGAAAGTTAAATGAATTATATATGTAAAGCATTTAGAATACTACCTGGTACATATTAAAAGCTATAGCTATGTATGTGTTACTTATTATGAAATTGGAATAGACATGGATGCCTTTGTTTGGCAGAAATTATCATTTTCCACCAATCTGTCTTTTTTACTACACAGTAGAATCAAGACTATGGATTAGATCAGTTATAGAAGCTAAAATTCTTTGGCAATCTACATTGTAGTGTGTGCGTGTGTGTGTGTGTGTATATATTATATATAGTGTACATATATAAGTAACATTTTTTCTTTTTCTGTCTCAAAAAATGGGATCTTTCTTAATTTCAGTAGGTATTTCCAGTTTATTAACATACCAGGACTTAGTAAATATGTCTGAGTTGATAATATTGGTATCTTTCATGAGTCCATAAATTTTAATCGTATTTCCTTTTGCCTTCATTTCCAGATAATCAAGTCCTAATATTTTTTAATCTCTCCTTATCATTTGATATATGTTGCCACAGCTGTTGGAGAAACTACAATAATAAGATGTGGTAAATTCTAGCTTATGTTTACAACTAGACGAATAGGGATAATCTTAATTAAGAGCAGTTACTCTAGACACAGAGAAATTAAAAATGATCAAAGACCGTTCCAGTTCCAATTCTTGTTAGTACAGTATTTGAACACTGACTTGCTGTGATACATTGCTTCATTAATTAGAAAGAGATGAGCTGCTAGATTTTTATTTGAAAATCAGTGTCAATGGATACACATTTATTTAACAAAAGGAGAGCAGCAATAATTGAGAGCTTTATTGTTTAGGAACAGAATTCCCTATAAAAACCTTAAAAATGCAGAGGTTGGTCACAAACAATACATTTTTTCAAAGTAAATTTGTTTTTTTTAAAATTTCATTATAGCAATTTGAAAAGTTTTTAGGGAGCTCAAAGTTTATTCAGTGGTGGACTGCAGAATAGATGGTCATAAGACTTTGCAACATGTTCACCAGGATTCTGCTAGTATTTTTAGGAAGTGGTCTGTCCAGACTTGTAAAATAGACACCTCTTATATAGAAGCTCTGAGTGGTAAGAAGATAATTTGGGGACTTCACAGGAAACTTAGAAAATGTGTTTATGGAACAGAACATCACATTGATTTCTGAATGGTCCCTTGGAAGCTGTGATTTTGTTAAGTGATTTAAGCAAAAAGAATTAAATGGCATATTGAGTTTATTTGTTATTCAGCATTTCCATTGGTCTCTATTTTCCATAGCTCTTACAACGGTGCAGACTTTTTTTGCACAAGTAATTCATGTCAATTACGGAAACTTCATAACTCCTTCATATTATTACCAAATCACAGATATTTAATAATAATAACTGCTAACAGTTTTTGAGTCCTCACCATAGTCAGGCACTATTCTGTTTAATTTTTATAAATTATGTCATTTAATCTTTAATCTTATAACAACTGTATGAGGTGGAATACTGTTATTGTTCCCATTTTATAGATGTGGAAAACAAAGGGCAGAATGACTGAGTCATGATCCTCAGGTTGCACAGGTGGGGTGTTGTGCTGATCCACTCAATTTGTAATTAAAGTTATTTTTAGGCTTGATTTTCTAGGTTTTAGTTAGATAGTTAGAAAATCAGAAACACTTGACAGTTCACGTGGGAGAGAAAAGAAAAGGCATGTGGGAGGGGCGGTGTTCCATGTATGCCTGTGATTTTTCTTTTTCCCTTCTGTTTTTAGGAGGCAACATAGTATCAGAGATGTAAGGAGTCCAGGCTCCAGGGTCTGAGCTTTGAATCCGGGCTCCACCACTTATCTAGCTGGGAAAATTACTTCAGTTCTCAGAACTTCTGGGTTTTTCATCTGTGAAACAGAAACAAGTTGTATTTACTTCACAGGGTTGTTATGGTAGTTAAATAGTGACTAAATGACATCCTCCCATAAGTCCCTTAGCTTTAAATATATTTATTATTATTATTATTATTATTATTACTATTTTATCATTCAACCTGTGCCCCCACTAACTGGGCAATAGTTTCCTAACTCCTTTACTTGGGGCATATATTCACCTATCCATTTTGAATATTGCTGTGAGATCAGTGTAATTACTCAGAGCTCCCTTACATCACATCTCTATCATACTAGAGAAATTATATCGTATAATGGAGGCCTTCAGAACACGAAATTTAGAGGCCTGTAAACTTGTCCTTAAATCCTAGAGTAGCAGTTGGGTAACCAGTCTTTAGCACGGTAGCCATCAGACAGTAGGAAGGAAAGAGTTATTACATTTATGGAACAAAATGGTAACACTTTTAGAAGAAAAAATGCAACAGTGAGTTTCTCATATAGCCTGTCACTAGTGTAAGTTTTCATGGCCTCAGCAAGCAGATAACAAAAGTCAATAAAAATAAATAATAAACATACGTAAATAAATTTGCATAAACACAACCACAAACATAGAACACAGGATATGTTTTCAATATCTACCCTTGATGTTAAAAGAGATTTGTGAAGGCATAATTGAAATTCAGTAAGAAAAGCCTTTGGAGTAAAGAGGAAAATTTACCCCTTCCTTGCCTAGGAATCTTAGATATGGCCTGCATGAAACAAAAATGGCAGTCACGTTAAATGCAATGCTATTTATATAATCCTTATGTCCATGTAAGCACTGAAATAAGAGCATAAACTAGATTTTTTTTCTGTATAACAAGAAATACAGAGGGCAATATAAACAAACCAATTGGCTAAATAGAACTCGAATTAGATAAAATGAAATCATAATAATTAGCTGTACTCACAGATCAATTATTTTCCAAATAAAATTATGACCTGCTTAAAAGGGAGCATCTGCACAGTTTCTCTATGAAGAAAGAAAATGATGCATTCCATTACTGCCTCATTTTCTTGGAGCAAAAGTATGACCTTAAAAAACTAACCTTTTAAATGAACCGTTCCTGAAGAAAATTTGAAGTGATAGGTTTTAATCAGCTAAAAGACGTAAAAAAAAAGTTGGGTGATTTATAAGCAGTGTCAGATAGAGATTTTATATATTTTTGTTAGAATTGTGAAGCCAATGGATATAAGAGTAAACCTGTGGGCAAAGTCTCTAATACCTATTGTTGTTCATAATTATGCCCTGAACGTACATCTGGGCTAAATCAGTGTGGGAAGGCAACTGATTCTTATTTTATGTCTAACATAGTCCTTAGCACTTGTGTCTCAGAAATTAAATCTGATCTTCTATCCCTTGCCCAAGATTCACTAACCACTCTCTTCCCTCTACCCTATCCAGGTCTGTATTTAGTCAGCCTCTTTGACTACCACCCACTCTCAGTGAGGCTCTTGTAATCAGGGAACAAAAAGTAAAAGAAATGACAATCTTCTCAAAACTTCCGTATGTCTTGGTTATTGCCTAGTAATTTGACTCCAGAGACTTTCTAGATATGACCATTTGGTGGTAAATGTCCTTGCCATACAACAGGATACAGATCTCAGATGGAATTTATATCTGGCTGGTATAAAAACAATTATGTTAAAAGTCATATTTCTAGGTAGAATAAAAATTGAAAAATAAGTTTATAACTTGGTAATAGAAAAGTTAATTTTAACTCATGGCAATCATAAATATATAAATAGAAATAAAAATATTTGACCCCACACGGTGGCCCATACCTCTAATGCTAGCACTTTGGGAGGCCGAGGTGGGGAGATCACTTGAGCTCAGGAGTTTCAGACCAGCTTGGTCGTAAAAGTGAGATGCCATTTCTTCAAAAAATTAACACATTTGCCAAGCATGGTGGCACATACTTGTAGTCCCAGTACTCAGGAGGCTGAGGTGGGAGGATCACTTGAGCCCAAGAGGTTGGGGCTGGCTGCAGTGAGCCATGATCAGGCCACTGCACTTCAGCATGGGTGACAGAATAAGACCCTGTCTCAAACAAACAAGCAAACAAACAAACAACAAAATTATACAAACATGTATATTATATAATATCATATAAATATATAAATAAACATTTGGCTAGTTTATTTAAATACACATTTAACTATTGTTCTTATTATTTATATTTTTATGTTTATATATTTTTAATATGTCACAGATTGAAAATATCAAAAATTAATAATGCTATGCGGTATTAGCAATTCAGTGGTGCAAAGGACAATATTAAATACAGTTAAAGAGAGTCTAAATTGATATCATCTTCTTGGTGGCTATCTTTGCATTACCTATCCAAAGTAAATCAACTGTCTAGGTTTCTATCATACAGAAAATGTACAAGGGCATATGAAAAAATATGTTCCCTGAAGCACTATTTGTAATAAGAAAAATCTTGAGGCAAGCTAAAGGTATATAAGTAGGGGGAGAATTAAGCAAATTATGGTATGTCATCATTGGGAAAACTATGTAGCCATTAAAATAAATTATATGTATATGTGTATATGTATATACACACACAGACACACACATATATGCAGTAAAGTAGAATGTTCATTGAATGAAAAAAAAACCTGAACAATATGTCGAGTATGATGCTGTTTTTTTTGTAAATTACTGTATCTCTATGCTCGTTTTCTAAGTCTGGAAGGACACAAATTGAGCCGTTAAAAGTAGTTACTGCTACAGAGTGAGAATGATAGTGAGCGGGGGATATCTTATGATTCATATTATATTATATATCTTTTTTTCTTTTTTTGAGTTTTTTACACGTGTTGTTTTTGTGATTAAAAAAAGAAAGAAATCCTGCCTGCTCTTCAAAATTACCTTATATGGATATGTGTATACATTATATTTATATTGTACTAGTTTGTAGAGGAGTTTACCTTATCAATTCCACTGTGGGTTCTTTGAAGACAATTCTCATTTATCTTTACATCTACAAAATTCCTAACATAAAAAGTGTCCATTGAAAGTAAGTGAACAAATGATTGATGTGGTGTCTTCAGGATAGTGAGTGACTTCTTGTGACTTCTGGTCATTTGAAAGTGTATAACACTTCCCCATTCTCTCTCTCTACCTCCTGCTCCCACTATGTGAGACACCTCACTCCTTCTTTGCCTTCCACCATAACTGGAAGCTTCCTGAGGTCTCCCCAGAAGATGAAGCCACTATGCTTTCTATACAGCTTGCAGAGCTGTGAGCCAAGTAAACCTATTTTCTTTGTAAATTACCCAGTTTCAGGCTACTCAAGATGTACCTTTCAGACGAGCAGCATAATTGCCAATAGGGAGCATGTCGGAAATACAGCTTTAGACCCCATTTCAGAACTAATGAATCCAAATCTGCATGGTAATCAGACTTGTAGGTGATCCTTATGTATATTAAAGTTTGAAATAAATTGACCCAGAACATTAAGCGCACATTTAGCTCTAATGCCCACAAGAATAGCAATTTGGAAAGAACCACCTATTTTCTCTGAATCTCAGGCTCTTCAGCTGTAAAACAGGATAATCATTCATAACATCCTACTCAGGCAAGTTTTGAATATGATTTTGAAAGTTCAAGTACCTGTGTCTTTAAAAAGATGACATAGAAAATCAATTAAAATAAATATAGTATAGATGGGCTTGTAAGTTGGTCCTCATTGAGTACAAATAGAAATTGAAGGGAAAATTTCATGGCTCAACCTAACGTAAACATATTATTTGTGAAAAATATCAACCAGAATGCGTATTTTTGTCTTTGTTTTCATTGTTCTTCTAAGTAGAAACATAGCTAAAGAACATGTTATTTCTTGAAAGCATACATGCAGCATTCAAAAGGGCTAGCACCAAAAACCAATCTGAGTAACAAAAGAATTGTAGCAAGCTTTATGCCAAAATGTTAATTGGAGTCTCTTTTCTACCTAACACTCTGTCAATTATCATTACTGCTATAATGGTTTGATATCAGAGTATTGATAATATGTATGTAACAAATATTTTTCTCAACTGACATGCCAATACAAAATGAATACATTGAGAGGGAAAAAGAAAAATTGGACTGAAGAAGCCACAGGTGTCAGTAAAAAAGCACCTGACCCTATGAAAGTGCTGGTAATCTTCCAATGCACTGATTAATAAGAGGTGTGTGTGTGTGTGTGTGTGTGTGTGTGTATGTATGTGTGTGTCTGCAGCTGCTGAGGAAAAACAAAGTAACACAAATAAAGGAGTCAAACAAAATCATCAAAGGAGGCATAATTATGTTGTGGTTAAAATTTGCGGATCTAAAGGCAGGTAGACCAGTACTCAATTCACCACCTGTGTGATATTCACAAAGCTACCTAACCCTCTACATCTCAGTGTCCTTATCTATAAAGTAGAATGAAAAAAAAAATCTCTGATCTAGGATTTGTTTGGGTTATTACATGAGATAATGCAGACTGTGGGTATTTCTCTATCGATTATTTAATACATTATGCTTACATTTTTATGTGTAAACAGGAAACCATAAGGAAAAATTATTTATGGGGAGAACAGGTTTTTGATGGTTTCATTTGGACCTGGTGTTGTAGAATATGATAACTTAGATTGTATTATAGATAGGGATCACAGGATGGTTGGTAATTTATAGTAGGGGTGCCTAACCCTTGGGCTACAGACTAGTACTGGCGGCACCAGCAGGAGGTGAGCAGTAGACAAGCAAGCTAAGCTGAGCTCAGCCTCCTGTCAGATCAGCGGTGGCATTATTAGATCCTCACAGGAGTGCAAACCCTATTGTAACCTGCGCTTGTGAGGAATCTAAGTTGTGCGTTCCTTATGAAAATCTAATGATGAATGTAATGCGCTTGAATCATCGCGAAGTTATACCCCTACCCCCTCCGTGGAAAAAAATTGTATTCCATGAAACCGGTCCCTGGTGCCAAAAAGTTTGGGGATCGCTGATTTATAGCACAAATCTGGATCTTACCTGAAGTTCAGACTCATAACTCTAACTGCCTATCCATCATCTGAATGGAGAATAGGCCATCTCAAAATGAACACACTGTAACCAGGCTCCTGATATTTCCACCCTAACGAGGTTCTCCCACTTTTCCCCATTTCAGTAAGTAGCAAGTCTTTCCTGCCAGTTGTTCAGCCCCAATTATGTTATCCTTGACCTTTTTCCTATTTGCAACATGAAATCCATTTAAAAATTCTGTTTGCTGTGCTCAACTACTATATCTCTTTAATTTGGTCATTTTCCTAATCTGGATATTAAGAATTGATGGACACGTTGATGACGCTGAGATTTACAAAGTTTGAATCAAAGAAAAACATTACTATATTCATGTGGCTGGGGAGTAGAATCAGATAACGAATACGAAATTTATAACACTGGACTCTAGTTTAAGGAATTTTTCCTTTATAGTTTTCACACCAAATACCATTGAAATTCTCAGGGTTTTATTTTCTTCAAACATTCTGATTAATTGAAATTTTGCTATATTGTAAATTGTAAAAGAGACGTCTGAAAGGACACTCCAGGCTTAATTTAGTGTGTTTCATTTTTGAGCATCATTCTCTTAAGTTGTCCCAGACAGTAGACCTAAGATTATGCATGGTTCTTAAAGATACTGCATTTTAAATGTCTCAAGGAAGAGATGGTCATAATTTTTCTTGGTAATTCATTCAAACAATTACCATGTTTGAAAGTTCAGACCTGATAGTACATTTCTTGTCCAGGTTTCTTTATGGCTCAATTTCCTGTTCCTCATTAATGGTCATGTCCTTATTCTTGGATGTTCATGAAGACAAATTTCATACTAACTTTGTTGAAGCCTGTAAAAACACAAATTTCAGTTCCCCTTGTGATGTTCACTTCATCTCTTCATTAATGGATACAAAGTGTGGAACTTAAACCTGACTTTTGCAAAGTGATTGGCTGTGGAATTTTATTGGTTTGCTGTCTGTCTTTTTCACTTTCTCCCCAGGAGAGGACTTGAGACCATTTCTATCAGAGAAATTATGGCATCTGAACTGAACGATTAATTTTACTTATTACAATTGAATGCTATAGATTAGAATGTTAGCTAACAGGGCCAATGAGTCTTTTACCTTCTATTTGTGAGCCATATCTGATTGAAGATAAAACATTTGCCAGAGTAGTATTTCATTCATACAAAGTGGCAAATAAAAACGTACCTTGTAATCACCATAAGAGTTTTGAGAAATGTAAAGTGACTGTGACATTCATAATAGATTTTTGTATTTTAATAAAAACTCCAGCTCTTTTAGAGACACGTATCACATTTTATTTGAATGTTGATGTTGATAAACATAGCCAGAACACTAACACAGCCTGTGGGTTATGTAACAAGCATGTATTCTGCTCTTAGTTGTTACAGATTTACTGCTGCATTCAACAATTCATTTAGCAAAGTCATTTTAAAGTAATTAAATGTTTCCAGGCTGGAAAATAACAAATTTGGGGCAAAGCGATTGCTATGTTCACTCAATGCCTAGATATTGGTAACATTACTAGGAATGGGCTGGGTGCCGTGGCTCACACCTGTAATTCCAACACTTTGGGAGGCCGAGGCTGGCGGATCACGAGGTCAAGAGTTCGAGACCAGCCTGACCAACATGGTGAAACTCTGTCTCTACTAAAAATACAAAAATTAGCTGGGCTTGGTGGTGCCTGCCTATAATCCTAGCTACTCAGGATGTTGAGGCAGGAGAATCGCTTGAACCAGGGAGGCAGAAGTTGCAGCGAGCTGAGATCACGCCATTGCACTCCAACCTGGGTAACAGAGCGAGACTCCGTCTCAAAAAAAACTTACTAGCAATGGTTTGCCCGTTGTCAAACTAGTGCCTTTGATACTGTGTGTTCCTTTGTGTCATAGTTTTGATATGTTTTGTTTATTCTGTGATATGAAGATATTGAACACTTAAATATTTCAAGTTTACGTAGAGAAAAGCTATGCAACACATTTCTGATAATTTTAACTAACCACAAATGTTAAATGTTAAAATTGATCTCAGTTTTATATGAATTGATGCACTGAGATTAGTGAAGTAATCCTACTTGTACATTGGCACTTTCCACTCCCTCACATGCACAGTGATATCTGAAGAATTATTGCTTCCTTTCCAATATCATTCCACAAGCATTATTGAGATGATCCTGCATGCATGGCACTATGGATTATATAAAAATTCATAGACTAGAACTTATACTTTCAAAATCTTACTAGGCAATGAGGATTAAACAAATATCCCCAAATTATCATGTAACACGATTCAAGAGTCTTCTTTATAAATATTATGGTTGAAGTCATAGAAATAAATAAGATACCAGAGAAAGAATAAGGAAGGAGAAGAGAAAGGTTTCACAGGCATAATCATGTTTACATTTTGGGTTTATGTTTTGGAGGTTATGATTGGATCCTGGTGTATTTTACATTATGTTCTAGTGTAATTCAACCATTTATTAAAACAAAAATAACAAATTGTGTGATTCGTGCAGTGTTAATACTTACCAGGATAGAAGTACACTGAAGTCCTAAGGGTAACCAAAACGTGAAAATTATAAGAGTGGTGACCTATTCTCATATTATTCCTGCTTTAAGTTTCTTCTCAAGGAAATTAAGAAAGATGGTTTCTGAAGGTCTGTATCTTTGAGTTACATATGGAAACAAAAGGTCCCTGGGAAGCCTTCTCAATGACATCAAACAAGCTTTTCTAGATAGACTCACTGGTTGTTGCTGTAAGTTCTTTTCAACACACTGAGGATGATCCAACTGATATTGACATTTCTCTACAAAGTCATCAAAATCAGTTATCGACTACGGATTACCAGGGTACAAATCGGTTTTCAATATTCTAAAAAGAAAAGGAATTGAAAATATAGCTGATGTTCTTTGATACATAATGACAGTTAAAGGTTTTACAATTTCTCTGACACAAATGCTTTGAAACTTTTATATTGCTTTTGGGAATTTTCTTCAATTTGTTACTGAGTTCCCAGGTTTAAATAACCATCTTATTTCAACGCAAAAAATCATCATCAAGGTTATCACTAGATGGCAGTATGATTCTTCTAATAAAAATGGAGTAGTGCCAACATTTATGGTTAAAAATAATTAAAGATAAAGCATTATTGCAAGAGAAATCACACAACCACACTTTCTCCTGTTAGTCTGAAGCACATTCTTACACGTTTGGACCCATTTAATTAAATTTTCTTACTCTCAGCTAGTCTTAAAGGAGACTTTTGTTTGCGTTCTTACTATTTCAAAAAGAATTGCATATGTTTTCTAGTTTCCTTTTCACTCTTCCTGCTTTACACCCACTCTGACAGACAATAGAAACTTTGATAATTATTTGCTAAATGAAAAATGTTATACTAGTTGAAAAAATATTGCTGTGTTTTCGGGAAAATGTATTGGTAGGAGGAAAAAGAGGTAGGCTAGGTGTTCTCACTTAAACAGATTTTTGTTTTCTGTCAGATTTAAACAGTTTTTATTATAAATCTGATGAAACCACAGATATGATATGAAACTGTAGGAGACTTCAAAAATAATCAATATGTTTCATTTTTATTGTTTTTGGTGGAAATATATTTACATCAAATCAAATATTAACCAGAAATCCTATGTGTACAACCAAAGAAGGTGGAGCTGCTGCAGCTTCAGAGGAGGCGGAGAAACTAGGGCCCAGCCAGTTCTGTGCTCTTTCTCATTTCCTCAGCATTCCTTACGTGGATTTGAGGAAATCCCTGACACAGTCTAACTTCCTCACTTTTAAAATTTTATAATTCAAAGATTCAGAGAAGAATAATGGGAGTAAAACTTTATAGGAGTCCGTACTCAAGGTGATCATTGTGCTAGAAGCACAATTCTTCCTTTCCTTCCTAACCCAAGATTCAATATTATTTCCATTGGATTATTAATTATTAATCTTACACTCAACACCTGTGGAAAGTAAGAATGCCCCAGTGGTTGTGTATATTATTATCATTCTTTTATAAGTTTTTAACGTTTCTCGTCTTCATGTAATTGCTATATATGCCTGAAATTTCATGTGAAGGAGTGTAGGTATCTTATAATAGATATTATAGGAATGCCATAAGGCATGGTTTCCAATATTTTTACACTTTTAGCTGGTCTTGTTTCTCATAAAACAACAACAACATCAGCAAAATAATATAAGAAAGGAACATTAAACAGTAAGTAAGGAAAAAAGTACTAGAGGCAGAATGGCATAGTGGAAAAAGCAAGGGTTTTGGAGTCAGACTGCCTTGGTTCGAGAAAATTTACTGTGTCAACAATGGAAAAGTTACTAACAAAATCTTAGCTACCTCAGTGGTATAATCAAGATAATAATACTACTTAGCTCACCAGGCTGTCAGAAGGATTACGTGAGAATATTTATACAAAGATCCGTTACCAGGCCTGGATGGAAATAGGGACCATATGTAATTTCTTTTTTCTCCTCATTGCCACTCTTCTATTTTGGCTCTGATTTAAACACATCAGCTTGGTGACCTTGGCAATGCACTCGTTTAGACTTCTTTACCTCTAAATTCCTTCCTAGCTCTGATATTCCGTGGTTATAAAAATGCTATTATTTACATGGTTTAAATACTTCACACTTTTTACTATATTTTAATGTGATTTTTAATGAAATGTTAATAGTACCGGCACACAGATAGTCAGAATTCTTATTCATTGTTTCATTAGCAGCACTATCATTCATCACAAAACAAGGTAATAATATCATTTTCATTTAAAAATCCTTTTCTATTTAAACCTTTTGAACTTTGCTGACTAGACTTTGCTGGACCTTTTAAGTTTGGGATCATTTTCTAAAACTTCAATGAATTTATATAAATGAAAAGTACATCAACAAAAATATTCTTGTTTGTTTTCAAATATGTAATATGATAAAATTAAGAGCTGTATATTCAAGAATACTGCCTGTTTAACATTCTGATTTTCAAACGTTATACTTATCTTAAAGTTATATAACTTTTACATAAAAAAGCAAGCATGTTTTATTGAAATCTGTGTATTTTTTAAAATATCCCACTCTCAAATACATGTTCATCATACCATTAACTGGCATGCTACTATATATCATAAGCCATGAAAAGGCAGGCTTTGAAAAGCTTCACAGGTATAGCAGATATGCTGTTTTCCGAAACAGTAATAAGTGCTCATAATGGTCATATTTGTGGGACATGAAAGAACAAGAGTATGAAAGAAAGAAAAGATCAGTGTTGCACTTGTTTCAATAATAGAGTTGAGGAGAACAAGTAAGTAGAAAGGAGGAATAAACAAATGAAGGCCAAAAGAATCAGAACATTCACAATATTTTATTTAAATTCGAAATATATTAGAGGGTAATGTCTTAATAGGACAATAAGATGACTGTCTTTGAAAGCTTTCCTGTCTTTCCAATAATGATATTGATGTCTATAAAGATGGTGGCTCCATAATAAAGGCAGAAAAATATATTGAAAATAACATGGGTAAGGTTTCCAAAGCCTTGCTTTCAATATGTAAGATGTCCTTTCTTACAAACATTTCCAAATATATTTTTATTATTTAAAAAACAGATTAATTGTGCAAATGTTTAAAATGTGTGTGTGGTTACATCAGATTACCCTGGATTCCATTTGGCTACACTTCTCTTGGTTAGAGTCCATAATGCATGATTGACACAACACAACTAACCATAAATAGGGAAGAAGACCTTCATAGATAAAGTCAAAGAAAATGTTGGTGTTTTTCACACACTATGTATTTATGGAAGTAGAATAACTGCATATTGGTAAACATCAGAGAACATTCTATTTTAGCAGAGACCTGAGAAAGTTAGAGAGTAGCCATAAAATTTGCTAAGTTGTTTCACTGAAAAGCTAGAGAGTAGCTGAATAGTTCTCAATACACCCTCCAATTCATAACTTGTGAAGAAAGTAACTTCAAGGTTCATCATTACTTCATATAGTTCTAAATTTGCTTCATTAAATAACTTCCACAAGGGGACAAAAAAAATAAAAATGGCATTGAAAGTCACCAAGGAGTATCAGTTATATACAAACAAATTTTATTTTCACTTGTTGACAGGAAACTTAAATAGATTTGTTTTGTGGCAATATTACAAGAAAGAAAATTTTACTCAGAATAAAGGCATATAATAAAACAAATCATTTCTTCAAACACCTGTCCCTTTTGTGTGATTTTTGATATAAGATTAATAATTAAGTTTTCAACATAAATATCCAGTAATGATTTGATTCAGAATTGGAAATTGGAGAAATTATGAAGGTTTCTCTCAATTTTAAAAGCAGATTTAAAAGAAAAGCTGAAATATGGGCTCTGTGAAGAAAACACAGCTGGGAATAAGCTCCTTTAAAAAAAAAATCTACTAATACCTGTGGCATACATAAGTAAAGCTTAATGAAAATTATGGCACTTAAAAATATTTCTGGATTGTTTCCAAAGCTGAATCCACAATGCTTTTTCCAAGTGTTATACTTTCTTTGAATAATACTATGTCTCCTTGGAGCAATATATAGTTGTGATGAATGGAAAAAAAAATCACTTCTCTCAATTCGAATTCTGTTTGATAAACTGCTCATTTAAATATTACTGTATCATTCACTTATTACCAACAATACGGCAGCAGAGGTTAAATTTATCAATTTTATTCTATATTTAAAATAATGCCTCACTATCTCTTTACTTTGAAATAATTTTGATAGATAATTTTGAATTAAATATAGCAAAAAAGATTAGAAAAGTAAGTAACCAATGGTATTTTGCTAGGTAAAAACAGAAAACCAAAATTGTTATCCTGTTGCAAAAAAAATAGGATTTTATCAGTAACAACAGACATTTAGGTTTTTATTTTTCATCCCTATAATTATTTTTAAAATACCTAGTGTTTGCCAAATATTATACTATCTATGCATGATACAAACATGAACAGGACAAAATTCTGGCATGGCAAGGGGTGAGTGGAAAACATCCATGTAAAAAGTCTAAAACAAGGCAATATTGCAATCAAAATAACTTCTGAGAGACAACTGACTATTTTGGAATACTGTAGAAATTATGTCAATATTCTGTACCATTTTGGAATATGTCATATTGAACTTTTAAAATGGAATATGGTCAGATTATATAGTAAGATAGAAAGCTCAAGGTATATATTAACACTTATATAATATTTTGGAACAATAATCCTGACAAAATTAACTTTTTTTTTTTTTTTTGAGATGGAGTTTCACTCTTGTTGCCCAGGGTGGATTGCAATGGCGTGATCTCAGCTCACTGCAACCTCTGTCTCCTGGGTTCAAGGGATTCTCCTGCATCAGCCTCTCGAGTAGCTGGGATTACAGGCAGGCGCCACCACGCCCGGCTAATTTTGTATTTTTAGTAGAGACGCAGTTTCTCCATGTTGGTCAGGCTGGTCTGGAACTCCCGACCTCGGGTAATCCGCCCGCCTCAGCCTCCCAAAGTGCTGGGATTACAGGGGTGAACCACCACGCCCGGCCACATTTTTTAAATATTTGGGTTGACCACACAATTTTGAAGTAGATTGGTTTTGTTTTTGTTCCATTAATCTTATTTTCTGATCATTTTCTCTTTTGCTATGGTGTACCTCTCTTTTCCCAGCCAAAGGTCCTTGGTTTGCTTTTTCTATAGCATAATATCAAAGGCTGTTTTCAGAAAAGGGTATCATAGACTGAGTGCTTTTGTTCCTCCAAAATTTATATGTTGAAGTCGTAACCAGCTGTGTGGTGATATTTGGAGATGGGGCCTTTAGGAGGTGGGGCCCTCATGATGGGATTGGTGACCTTACAAGAAGAAACACCAGAGGATTCTTTCCTCCTGCCCTGTGAGAATTTAGTAAGAAGATAACATTCTATGAGTAGAAAAAGAGTCCTCACAAGAAGCTGACCATTCTGGCACCCTGGCCTTGGACTTCCAGTCTCCAGAACTGTGAGAAAATAAAATTCTGTTGTTTAAAGTACACTGTGTAAGTCTATGGTATTTTGTTGTGGCAGCCCAACCAGACTAATACGAATAGTGTGAAATTATTACTCTACTCCCTTTCCCAGGGCATTAGAAATTAAGTCAGTGACTCTGACTGTGGAATGAAATATTTAATCCTTGTTAAAGGCATTCTAATAATGTTGAGGTCATGAAGATGAGTGCAATTTTTAAAATCCTACTGGGTTGGAAGGTGTCCTCTCCAATTAAGTGCATGCCCACCTCTATTTCTACTTCTCAATCAAAACATGAACTCTTTTCATTCAAGCCTCATGTTTCAAGCATCATGGTTTAAGTCAACAACTCCCAAACATGAAAATGCTCATTTATCTTTAAAATGAATTTTTCCAGGAGTGAAATAACTTAAGATAGCTCTTGTTTGTTTTAGAAAAGTTTTGCCAATCCAGAATATTTTTTTAATATTTGTATGCAGGTTTTGCTACCAGATTCTTATTTAGTTGTTAAACTATACTTCTAACTCTGTAATATTACCTACATTAGGTAAAGGGACTAAAAGTGACTGTTGCTCAGACTACTTTCACTTAATGGTGATCAATTTTAATTCAATTCAGCTTAGTTCAATTGAACAAATGTCTATGAAACACATACTGTATGCTAAGTGGTACTTAAAATACAAAGATGCATATAACTTTATGTCATGCTTCTCACGAGTTAGACGTTTCTGCTGAAACATCTACCTTCAGTAATCCTTGTGACTAGATGCACAGATTTGCAAAATATTTACAGTTTTAGGTACAATTTGTGTCTAAAATACAGTAATGCTAATTAGCCCAGCCAAAGATAGAACCTACAGACTTGGCTTCATTAATCACTGACTGCACACTCACCAAATATTTAGGTCAGGATTATTTGTTGATTTTTTTTTTTTTTCATTTTGTTCTTTTTGCTTCAGGAGACTTCAAAGAATGAGAGAGATTTTTTTTTCTTCTGTCCTGTGAAAGTAGGCAAGTTTAAATCTTGTGTGGTTGCTTCATGAGGTGCTTAATAGTGTATGTTCTTTAGCGCCCAAAACAGAAGTTTAAAGTGTCAAGAATATCCAGCGTTTGACTATAGGGTGGAGGCTAATCCAGGATGAAGGAAGAGAGGTTACTATTGAAAGTCAAGGGAGTTCAATTGGTTTGCCCTGAGGCAGTGAATAGTGAGGGAATATTTTAGTTGAAACTAGGGTAGGGATATGTATTTTGGGTTATCTGTGACAAGTTCCTCACAGATAACTTCACCTAGTAGACTTGACAAAGTTTCCCATTTCCCAAAGAAACATGGAGGGAGGGTAAGCAAACGGTCTTTCAAAATGGACCAAAAGGACTTAAACAATGAGCATTTCAGTGGCTATCAAAGTGGAATGAAAGTCATAGGAACCTTATGGAAATTTTCTTGTCACTGTAAGACTCTAGCCGAGGGGGAGAGTCAAAATCATCACTGGTATTGGTCGTCTTTGTGCTCTAACAAGTTGGAGCATAGAAGATAGAATCTGATTTACGAAAATGTATAGAGGTGGGACATTTCTTGCATCCGAGGGTTGTGGGGGAAAAGTGTGTCCATTATAAACTATAAAATGAAAATCTGTGCATTTTCCACTCCAACTACATATACATAGGATTAAAATGAACCTTTTTGAAAGTACATCAAATACAAGTATGAAGAATTCCACTAAAGTGCCTGAGAGCTCATCTGACCCATATCACATTGATTCCATGATATACCTGAGCAGCAATCACCCAAGAGAGAATTTTAAGTGATGCAGATAGTTTTATCCATGAGGCTTTCATCAAATCTGTGTGACTCGAAACCAATGCATCATTTAAAAATACTTGTTTATTGTGGTCTAGACAATAGGTTCACTGTAGAATACATCAAACAAAATGGTATTAAGGTGATGTGACAGCATAATTGTCAACTCTTGCCTCCATATTTCCCAACTCTCTTTTTCCCTGAAGAGTGAGCTTTGCATATCTTTTCAGAAAAAACAACAACATCAATAAATGGTCCTTGCTGACAAGAGAGTAATGAGGAAGTGATGGTCAATTAGATTATTTGGGTTGTGCAATATCCATAACATTTTAATCTGTAATAAGGCAGCCCCTGCAGAGACAGGTATGTAGGTATATATACCTGTATATAGGGCCACACTCCTTAAACTATGGAATAGTTGTCTGACACTCTGCCCCCATCCAACAGCTCTGCCTGGAATTTCCACCATCTATGTCATTTTGGACAGATAACAAATATTAAGCAGAAAATCTGGAAGCTATTCAGATACATGAGCCTGTATGTTTTCTTGCAAGGTAGAAGACACCCTTCGTCTTCTTGTTCTACCTTCTTAATATGCATGTAGTACCAAAAATAAAGGTCCTGAAAAACTTTCCACTAAAGGAGTATGAAAAGATTAAACAGAGGAGTAGACAACAATAAGAATAAGCTTCACAATTTGTCAGAGGATTTGTCTCACATGTCTTGAATAAGTCCTAAATATCTTATTTCAAAAAATGCCTAAGGATGATTACTTAAAATGGCCTCTTTCAAGACAATATAATATTTGGCAGCTTGTCCTATCTCTCCTGCCTCTTAGTGACTTGTAACAGTTTGTATGAATAATTTATAGACAGCATAAATACCTCTAATAAATGCAAAAAGGGAGCATATGCTGTGATATAAAGTCTTTGATACTGGTGATATGAGCTATTGAAAGTTGCCTGATAAAACAGGTTTTGTTGTTCATTCATACAATTCCATCAACAACAGTTTACAGAGAAGTGAATGCCTGATCTCTAATTGTTTTCTTTGTGGTATGGATTCATTTCATGCAAAGACGCTGGAAAATGCCTTTCTTAAAGGAGATATCTTCCAGAAATTCTGCTTTCATGATGTATTCATTAACGCACCAGAAGCAAGATTAAGAAGAAATAAAACGTATGTGTGTGTGTGAGTGTGTGTGTGTGTGTGTGTGTAAGGGGAATGTGTGGGTATGTGGGTGTTTTTCTTTATATATATATATATTTTTTTCTATTTTGAGAGTCCACTTTTTCTTTCATCTTTTAATGCTACTTCTGTGCGAAGATTGCATGGGAGCAGTCTGTGTTACTGCTGAGCATTTCTGAAGAGAGATTGAAAGAGCTGTTTTTCTATTGCTTTTTCACTTGGTAAAAGTGTGAATGCTTCATTAACACTTCTTAGGCTGTAAGTGAAATGTCCTTTTGAAAAATGATGAACAATCTGTGTCCCACAGCTCCCCACCTAATCGGGTTCAAAAAATCTCTCTGCACCCCCCGAGGGAACGATTTTACGTTTGCTGGTTTCTTTACCATAAAGCATTGGAGACAAATTCTGGTATGAGAGTTTAAGGAGAGCACACTATTTTTTTTTCCTACCTCCTTCTAAGCTCAGGGGCAAAGACCTTTTCACTGGTACCCTGCTTCAGGTGTTGAGGTTAGCCTAACAGTGCCTGTTGCCAGAAGAAGATAGTTGCTCGAGTTTGTGCCTATTTTTCTATTATCTTATCTTAAGTCTTCCCTATGAAAGTATTAACATAAGGCTAAAAAGTCCAAGGGAAGCTTGTTAATGCTGATGTTATGAGCAATAAAACAATCTGGTTATAATTCAGAGGATGGGAGAGTGTGATTGTTATTTTCTACTTATGGCTCCCTAAACATAAATAGGGAAAAAAAGAATTGGAAAAGTAATGAGTTTCAGTATTATTACAGTACTCTGCTCTAACCTCAAGCTGGTGTTATAATTGAGAACAGACTTCTATTATTAACCTGTATTTCAGAGGCTTATAACTCACTTATTAGTAAATACATACAGGAACAGAAACAGCCTATAATGTCACATTATATTATTCAATCTATACAAATTTCATTTGGTTTTATAAAGCAACTTACAGCATGGATTCTGATTTCATGCCTGGTTTTAAATTTTGGTTCTGTCTTTTACAAGCTTTGTCTATACAGTAGTTACTTCTCTGAGCCTTACATTCCTTTTATGTAAAATGAAAATAAAGTCCACCTACCTCAAAGAGTTATTGAGAGAATTAAATAAGTTATGTAATATACTTAGAAGAGGTTCCTACACATTGGCGATACCATGTGTGTGTTAGCTATTATTATTGTCAGTATCTTCCAAAGTTGTTAGAGTAAAGAAGGGAGGAAAAATATCAGAAGTAGAGAGGATTTTTTCAAACTATGCAATCTTCATGATCATGATAAACCTGTCTAGGGAAGATAGTATATCCAATTCAAATGTATATCACTGCTGTTTTGGAGCATTATTACTATGTATAACCCTTGGGTGTGTTGGATTTGTAAGACAAGTCAACAGATACTGCTACACAGAGTCATATATGTATAGCAACATACATATAATATCTGGGTCAGGTGCTTTACATACATTCTATTAAACTTCATGGCAACCCTGCAACCCTGAGAAGAATGCATTGCTTTTCCTATTGTACACATAAGGAAACAGCAAAGGCAGAACAGGTGTGAATTTTCCAAGGTCACACAGTAAGTAGCACAACTGAGGTTTGAAACCAGGTCTCTTTGTCTCCAACTTTTTTTTTTAACCCCACCAACCTTCTGTAAAAATATAGACATATATTTTGAGCAACAAAGTACCACTGTAAGCATCTGTGAAATAAATGAACCACTGAACTATATCTGGAGTGTGACTTTAAAGAATGGAATATATTTTTGTTAATAAGGATTTCAGACCAAGCAAGAATTTCAGACATAAAGGAAAAAGGAAAGCAGACTTTTTCAATAACTGCAGACATGATTCCCAATGACTGTCTTTGTATATACAGTGTGTGAAAAAGATTATTTTTCTGGCATTAGTCTTTTCAGTCACACCTATACACACAGATGGGAGGACATCAAAATGTAAATAGAGACATATATTATAGCTAAAGATTAAACTGAAGCTGATATTTGTAGCAGAAAAGTAATTAGCAAGTGCACAAATCAGACTTTTTTACATTTTATATGAAGGATTAAATGTTTTGTGTATATGAAGAGTTATATTCTTAAGGCTTAAAAGAGACCTGTGCTTTGTTTGCAAATGTTACATTTTATTGATAAGCACTAAGGACTGACGTTGCAGGAGAACTCAAGTTTTAAGGCCTAAGAGAAAAAAGAAACAGACATAAATTTATAAATTAGTAAATCATTATTTTTTCTATAAAAACCACAAATATGTTCTCCAGCCACGATATGTATCTATGTTTTACTAGGTGGAAAACCTTGGCTTTATTCTACTAAACCGTTCCATATTACTGTATTTTTTTGTGGCATCAAGTAATAAAAATGGACTTTACTTAGTCTAGCAAATGTAAAAGAGAATTTAATGAAAGCATTTTGGGGGACATTTCAAAATGCTTGGGAAAATCCAAGGTAAAGGTAACCAACCAAGACTTTTTAAGAAGGTAGGAATCGGGGAAGCTCTGGAGACCAGCAGCAGAAGTCTTGAACTCGTTTGGGAGACAGAGGGCTCTGTGAATAATATGACTGAGTGGAGTGATCCACATTCTCTGTACTTGTTAATGCAAAATTCCACATTCCCAGCTTTGGTTGGGTCCTAGCATTGTATATTTGAGAATTGTTCCTAGAGAAAGGGGTGAGGGAGATATTGTGAGGGGCCAGCTCTCTGCAAAAATGTCAGTTGCAAGCACTATTTCATTTAAAAATACTATGTTGTCTTTTATTTTTCCAACATTATATTTTTAAAATTTTCAAACACATCAAAATTTGAAAAAAATTGTACAAGAAACAATAGGTGTTTACCACCTAGTTTCCATAATTGCTAAGACTTTGCAATGTTCACTTTATCTATCAACTTATACAGCAAACACATGCCACATTTATATTTTGCTGAGTCATTTAAAACTAAATTACAATAGTCATGACACTTCAATTCTAAATAATTTAGCAAGGACATTTTCCTAACTACATACAACACCATTATCACACATAAAGAAATTAGCAATTTCATGATATTATTTAATGCCGTGGTATTACTGAAATTTCCCCAACTGTCTTCTGTAATTCTACTTTTTAAATCAGAATCCAATATAAGTTCATATATGAATTTGTCATGTCATTTTATTCTATTTTCAATTTAGAATAGCCCCTCATCTTGCTTTTTATTATTACTATGACTGGGACACATTGAAAAGGCCAGGCCAGTTGCAGTATGTTCCTCATTCTGGATTCGTGTATGTGCCAGTTACCAGTTTATTGACTTTCAAATCCAAATTCAACTTTAGTATCTGCTCTGAGATAATGGACTAGATAGCATTTTCTTTTACAATGAACCTGATTTTCAGCATTGTCAATAGAGGATGCTGGAGGGATATGACAGGAGGAAGGTGGCTTCTCTCTTTTCAAGTGTGCTGCATTTTTGTTTTTGTTTTTTTTTATTATTATTATTACTACTCCTGCATGGTTGTTCAGAGATGTGAAGACATATTTGAAAACATCTGGTGGTTCCCTGCCCCATCCACATGCCCAGTGTGTACAGCTCCTCAGCAACTTCACAGCCCTGCCTCAGGCCTGATGACCACTTTGTCACTGCCCTTTCTCTGAAGACATTGCACACTCTAGGCCTTAGACTCTCAGCAATGGCTTAACTCCCTCTGTGAGCCAGCCCACTAACCCCCATTCCCCTTCACCTGTGGAGTTATTTCCTTCTTTCCTATTGACTGTAGACCAACTTCTTCCTTCTCCACTAGCAGAAAGCTACAACTACAGCTTCCGCAACAAGGTCTCAATGCCAGGCCTGAGAAGGACACCCCCACTTCCAGGGATGCCCTGTTTTGGGTACTCTCCTTCAAATCTAGAGTATCTCTTAGAGATCTCCTTTTATCTTTAAAATGATTTTTCATTAATAGCTCAACAATTATTTACATTAAATTTACAATCTAGATTTACTGCATGGTTTCTGTCTTTTGAATGGGCCCAGACTAATACAATATGCTCAGTTATTTTTGGTCATGCGGTATTGTTTAATTTGTTTATCCCCAGGATTTCCTGAAAATTGAGATGAAATGCTTTGTTAGATTTAAGTTAAACAGTTTTGGTGAGAATAATTTATACATGATGTGGTATACTCAGCATTTCATCATATAACAACACAGCCACACAACACTATTGTATCTTTATTAGTGATGCTTGTTTTTATTCCCTTGTTAAGGTAATGACTGCCAGTTGTCTCCACTGTTAAGATATACTTTTTATTGACAATTAGCAAATAATCTGAGAGTTGACACTTTGGGATTATGTGAATATCCCATTCTCCCCAAATATTTTACTAATCATTTTAGTGTCTATTGATGATTTTCATATGAGTTATTTCATTGAACATTGCAAAACGGTGATTTTTTCTAACTCTATTTTTTTTCTTCTTTAATAATTAGCTCTTCTGTGAAGAAGAGTGTTCCTTCATCACCCGGTGAAGAACTTTGGCAGAGTAAATGCATTTTCCCTTTCTTGATTTCAGAGTAATAAATTGACATCTAATAGTTACCTTCAATAGTGGCAAAATTATCTCTCTGTGTCATTGACTATCATTACAAAATTATGAATCTTTATTTAGTATTTTAAAGGCAAAAATGATAACTATTCTTTCTGATGCTTTCTTTTTTCAAATTTGGAGTCCTTTTAAGACAGTTTCTTGGTCATTTTGACTTGACACATTTAGTCTTTGAGTACATTCTTGGCTACTGCCATCATAAGATGTTTTAGACTCTGGAATAATGTACTGTTACAAGCCCTCTTCTTTTGAGTGAGAAATAATATTTAGAAATATGCTAGGTGCTAGCTGAGCTCACTGCTAGTGGACCATCATCACTTGATTTTTGTTAGATCTTTCAGTGTATTTAAACGTTGTCCAGTGTTGGTTGTGAATAACCCTTGGCTTTGATTGTGGCTGTGGATGAAATTCAGCACCTACAGCCACCAGTAGCCTTAGCTCACCACCCACTGTCTCAATATCATGGGTAAAACCCAGGCTCTGACAGGCACTGTGGACCCTGGCCCAGATGTCCTGCTCCGATGCAGCAGATTGTGTGGTCTGACTTCTGGCTTGGGATCCCTAACCGTGTCTCCTGTCCCTAGGACACCCAGTTGCCCTGAGCCTGATGCCCATGCCTCTAGGACCTTAGAGATAAGCCACTTGGTTGTCCCCATCTTTCAAATAAAGCTTTTTGTGCAATTCAAATCCAAGCACTAATAATGACTTTATATTAATATTTCCAATTCAATTTGAACATTGGGGGCTTTTCTCTTAATTTACCTTAACAAAGCAAAAAAATGTGCACCACTAATAAAGATACAATATAGTGTTAATCCCATTCACAAGGCAGGAGCCCTCATGACTTAATCACCTTTTAAAAGCCCTATCTCTTAATATTGTTGCATTGAGAATTAAGTTTCAACATAAATTTTGGAAGGTAAAGAAATATTCAAACAATAGTATTCTGTCCCTGTGCCCCTACCCAAATGCATGTTTTTCTCATATACAAAGCATATTTTTTCCATCTCAATAGCCTCAAGATTCTTAACTTGTTTTAACATCAACTTTAAAGTTTAAAATCCAAAGTCTCATCTAATTATTATCTATTCAGATACAAGTGAGACTCACTGTGTCATTCATTCTAAGGAAAATTACTCTCCAGCTGTGAGCATGTGAAATCAAAGAGGTTATGTGCTTCTGAAATACAATTTCGAGACAAGCGTAGGACAGCCATTTCCATTCTAAAAGGAAGCAATAGGAACAAAGAAAGGAATAATAGGTTCCAAGTAAGTCCAAATCCTAGTAAGACAATTTCAAATCTAGATGCTTGAAAATAATTCTGACTCCTAGCCTCACCTTCCAGATGCACTGTGGCAGTGGTTGTGTTCCCAGGGCTCCAGAGGACCCCACACCCATGGCTTTGCTCAGTGAGGCCTATGCAGCTCTCATGGCTTACTGCCCATGGCCTGTAATTCTCCCGGGCTGGAGTTGCATACCAGTGGATCTACAGTTCTATAGATCTTGGGGATGGTTCCTAAGCTGTGAGTCCACTAGGCATTGCCCCACTGAAGATTCTCTGTGATGGTCCGACTTTTGCAGCATTTCTCTGCCTGAGCCCCAAGGCTCTTGGAGGCATCCTTTGAAATTCAGGTGGAGTAGCCATGTCTCCACAGCTCTGTGCACCTTCAGATTTAGCAACACATGGGAGCTGCCATGGTTTATGGCTTGTGCCTTTTAGAGCAACAGACTGAGCTGTACATGGGCCCACTTTGGCCACAGTTGGGGTGGCTAAAAATCACTGCACTGGAATGCAGGGAGCAGAGACTTGAGGCAGTGTTGAAGAGTGAGCCTCAAGGTTTCATGGTCACCCTGTGCATTTTTCATAAAACTGTTCTGCCCTCAGTGTCCTGGTACTCTCAGCCTGTGATGTGAATGATGGCACCAAAAATCTCCAGAATGCCTTCTGGGTCATTATTTGATATGGTTTGGCTGTGTCCCCACCCAAATCTCATCTTAAATTTTAGCTCCCATAATCCCCACTTATCAATGGAGGGACCCAGTAGGAAGTAATTGAATCATGGGGGTGGGTTTTTCCTATGCTGTTCTCGTGATAGTGTAAGTCTTACAAGATCTGATGGTTTTATAAAGGGCAGTTCCCCTGCACACACTATCTTGCCTGCCGCCATGTAAGATGTGCCTTTGTTCCTCCTTCACTTTCCACCATGAATGTGAGGCCTCCCCAACCATGTGGAACTGTGACTCCATTAAACCTCTTTTTCTTTTTTAAATTACCCAGTCTTAGGTATGTCTTTATTAGTAACATGAGAATGAACTAATACGTTCTTCCATTGTCTTGAGGAACAACACGTGACTTCCTTGTATTCGTATTTATCTCCTTATCAAATATTCACTTGGCCATACCCTTGGTATTGTCTCCCAGTTATATATTTTTATTTTATACTTTTTTACATGTCCAGGCTAAGAATTTTTTTAAATCTTTAAGTTCTGCTTTCCTTTTTATTGTAATTTCCATCTTTAATTTACTTCTCTCTTCTCATATTTTACTATAAACAGTCAAGAGAAGCCATTGTGGGACTGAACACTTTGCATAGAGATTTCTTCTGCCAAATATCTTAGTTTATCACTCTTAAATTCTGCCTTCCACAAAGCACTAGGACATGGACATACTTCAGCCAAGTTCTTTGCCACCTTGTAACAAGTATGGCCTTCCTTCCAGTTTCTAATAAGATATTTCTCCCTTCCATGTAAGTCCTCATCAAAAGGGACTTTAGTGTCCATATTTCTGTCAGTATTCTGATCACGGTCACTTAGATAACCTCTAAGAAGACAGAGGCTCTTTCTACAACTTTCTTCTTCTGAGCCTTCACCAGAATTTACCTTAATGATCCATTCCTGCCATCTAGGGTTTTTTCAGCATGCACTTCAAAACTGTTCCAGCCTTTACCAATTACCCAGTTCTATAGATGTTTTCACGTTTACAGATATTTGTTACAGCAACATTCCACTTCTGGTCCCAATTTCTGTCTTAGTCTTCTTGTGTTGCTATAACAAAATACAGGAAACTGAGTAGGTTATAAACAAAAGAAATTTATTTTTCACATTTCAGGAGGCTACAAAGTCAAAAATCAAGGGGCTGGCAGGTTTGGTGTCTGGTGAGAACCCAGTCTCTGCTTTCAAGACAGAGCCTTGTTGTTGCATTCTCCAGAGGGTGCAAACTCTGTGTTCTCACTTGGAAAAAGGGAAGGAAGGGCAAAAGGGCAGAACACTGTGTAAAACTTTTATTTCATAAAGACCCGAACCTTATTTACAAGGGTGAAGTTCTCATAATTGAATCACCTCCTAAAGGCTCCACCTCTTTATACTGTTCCGCTGTGGATTAAGTTTCCATATAAATTTTGGAGGGGGAGCAAATATTCAAACCATAGCATCTCTTAGTATATCTATGTATAGATGTATGAATATATATTTTAATTATTTACAAATTAGTTACTTATTAACACATAATAAATTACACCAAAACTTAGCAGCTTTAGGCAACAAACAGGGCATTTAGCTTTTATGGATCAGAAATTTAAGAGCAGCTTAGCTGGGCATTTGTGGTTCAGAATCTCTCATGAGGTTGCAAATTGTTGACTAGGGCTGTAGTCATTTGAAGGCTTAACTGGACACTGGAGCTAGAGTATATACCTCCAAGATGAGTCTCAGACCTCAGTTTCTCACTGGCTGCTGGCATAAAGCCTCATTTCCTTACCTAACTGACCTCTGCGTAATTATTCCTAAGCCATGACATGTTTTGCTTATGTACCCTTAGAGAGTGATCGAAGAGAAAAAACAATGAGGAGCCACAATGCCTTTTAAGACCAAGTCTCAGAAATGGCACTCTGTTCACATCCACCAAATTCTATTTATTAGAAGCAAGCCGCTAAATCCAGCCCACACTCATGGAGAAGGGAATTAAGCTTCATTTCTTGAAGAGAGGAATAGAAAAGTAATTATGACCATGTTTTAAAAATACCACATTTGCTTATTGTATATCATACACAAAATAGATTCAAATTTACCATATCTATATAACTATACATGAAAATAGAGAATTAAGTGTAAAATTTCTTTGTAGTGTTAACAATGTATATTCAGTGTATTGTGTTCAAAAGCCTATTGAAGTAATTTTCTCTGTATGATTATGTTACTGATTTGGTATAGAGTTAAATTACCTAATTTTTAATTTTTTGAGTTTTAGAATGTTCATGCTTTTTTATGCAAATCAATTTTTTGATCAAATGCAATGCATGCATAGTTCAGAAAACAAAACAATTATGTTCAGAAATGTCTTGCTCTTTGTCTTATCTTATATATTTACTATTCACAATACCTTGTTTCTCTAGAGAGCCATTTTATTTGTTTTTGGTTTATTCTCCTTTTATTTTGTTTTTTAAAATAAGCCTTATAAAAGACAAATAGTAATTAATTCTACTTTGATACTGTATAATTTTTTTCTTGGCTTTTTGAAAGCCAAATGTTTACTAATTAATTTACATAGGAGTAGGATAAGGAGACAGAAGCCCCTTTGTGTTCAATAGGCTCCTCAGGTTAGTTAGGTTCCTCAGGTTGGCAGCCACGATGAGCACCATGCTGTTTTTAGAAGGTGTCCTGCCAAATAAACTGTACCTTAAAGACATTGAACATAGCAGACGCACAAACAGTAGCCAGTTCCCTTTACACAGTCCTGGTTGATGGACCAAAAACAATTTCCTTTGACAGGGAAATCTATGCTAACTCTATTGAAAACTGTAAGACAGACAAATGGTGCATATTACTATACATTCCCTGTGGTTAAAACTAAATTCAAGTTTTCTATGCACATTTTTCATGATGTACTTTAAGGTTAGAGCATTCATAAAGAAATTCCTGAATCTGTGAATACAGTTTGATTTTGTAGCCAAGGGTTGAAGGGGTAAAAAAGAACTACACATTAAGGTGTGGTATTAAGGCTGGGCCTGGTGGCTCACACCTGTAATCCCAGCACTTTGGAAGGCAGAGGCGAGTGGATCACCTGAGGTCAGGAGTTCGAGACCAGCCTGGCCAACATGGAGAAACCCCGTCTCTACTAAAAATACAAAATTAGCCGGGCGTGGTAGCACATGCCTGTAATCCCAGCTACTTGGGAGGCTGAGGCAGGAGAATCACTTGAACCTGGGAGGCGGAGGTTGCGGTGAGCCGAGATTGCACTATTGCACTCCAGCCTGAGCAACAAGAGCAAAGCTCTGTCAAAAAAAAAAAAAAAAAAAAAAAAAAAAAGATGTGGCATTCAAATAATTTTTTAAAAAGTTTTAAAACATTTTTTCAGGTAATTTTGAACTGAAAAAACATTAAAATGGCATAACAATTTTCTATTTTAATAATTATGGTGCTATTGGGATTGCTTTATACTACAGAGAAATGATAAATACATTTCTTAGTGACAGAATTGTTTAGGGAAAATGCCAGCAAATTACAAAAAAAGTGCATGAAACTGTTTTTATTCCGGCACAGTTGTTATATTCAATGTTTCACTAAAGCAGCAACTAAAGCCGCAGCTGACAGTGATTGGGATATTTGCCTGTTTTGAATCACTAAGAATGACAAGTTTAAAGGAACTGCATATCATCAGTTATGTGTCTCTCTTCTTTTCTCTTGTTCCTCCTTTGTTGTTTTCTTTCTCTCATTTGTTCCTTCATTAATTTAATTGTCAATTTCTTTTTAATCTATTCATTTTGTTGTTAACTTGTTTATTTATTCATTCACTTATTAATTCATTCATCCATCCAGGTAAAGTAACATCTACTTTAGCGTAGACCAGTACCATAGCAAATAGCTTCTTAATTTGTTCCCTGTTCCACTGTCACACCAATGCAAGGCATTCCCCACACAGCATGCAGTGACCATTAGAAAGTAAAAATTATGTTGCTTCTTTCCCCTGCTAAATATCCCTCCAAACGCCTCCTATGTCACTCAGGAAAAATTTTAAATTTCTACAATGGCTTACTTAATTTGATGCTTTGCTCTCTCTCCAACTTTATTACCTTTCACTCTCCCTTGCATACATTGCTTTAGTCACACTGACATTTTTTTTGCTGTGCCTCGAAAAACACTTAATACTTGTTATTCCTTTTACCTAGAATGTACCTCCCTCAAATCCTAGCATTGATGGGTGTCATCATTTTTATCATTGCTCAAATGCCACCTCAGAGATGCCTTTCTGACTACCCTATCTCAAGTTGCCTCCCATCCCTCGCCGTCATATCACATTGTCTTCTTAGCACTTACTACAATTTGAAAGTGATTGTGCATATCCCTAAATAGAATGTAAGCTCTCTGAGCACAAGGAATGTATCTATCTTCTTTATTATTGTATTCTCAACAACCCAAATAATACTGACACGTAGAAAATTCGTAGTATGTAACGGATGGATGAATGTATGAATGAATACTTCTGTTCCAGAAACAATCATTGTTAACGTATTGGGCATTTTGTGTGGCCATAAGATAATGGAACTAATAAAATTGTAATAAACAGCACCATTCTAGTGATGAGACACACATACAATCAAACAATTAGCACATAGTTTGCTAGTGATAAAACAGAAGTCTATACTAAGGGCAAGGCAGCCTAGAGAAAGGAGGATATTTAGATTAAAAAGAAAAAAAAACAACAACAAAAAAGAGAATACTTGTCTTGTTTGAGGAACAGCAAGAAGGCCAGTTTCGCTGGAATAGACTGTGAAAGACTATGAACTCAGTGACATGGGCAGAGGCTTGGATGTTAAACTAAATTGTGATTATGGAATTCCAGTACTGTGACATCTTTCAAACGCACTGTTTAAATCAAGTGGCAAAAATATATAGTGCTGAGAAGTTTGTAAACTCCTTGAAGAAAAAGACATCTTTTATATTCTTTATTTATAGTTCCCAAAGTGCCTATCAGAGCATTAAACACATAGCAAACACTCGATGATAACACGTTTGGATTACTGAAGGCACAAGCAAATGTAATATCCCATTTTTCCAACAGTTTAATAGCTCGTAAGCCACATCCTTTAAAGCACACTTTTGGCTGAGGTGTAGATTCTCCTTCTATAGGAATATTTCATCCAGCCAATAGGAGAGGGTAAACTGAAGATCTCTTTCTCTTTCTATTCCACTTGTTCTGCTCACGTGGCCATAGAGGGAGGGGTACTGGAAGACAGGAAAGCATGCCTCTTATCGGTTGATTTCTTAGCTGGTTTTCCAATTATTATCACTATGTAACAAATTGTGGAAGAAAACTAAGCAGCTTACACAAACCATTTTATTTTGCTTGTGATTTTTATGTGTCAGAAACGTGACAAGGGTTTGCCTAAGCAATTATCATGTGCGATTGATTCTGCAGTTGAGGTAGATGTCAACTTGAAGCTGTAGTCATCCCAAGGCTTGATTGAGATAGATGTCTAAGATAGCTTATTCACATTACTAGCAGTTGATGCTGGCTGTCAGCTAGAATCTCAGTGAGGGCTTTTGACTAGAGCACCTAGATATGGCCTCTCCAAATGGTCTGTGTTTCCTTATAACATGAAGGCTACAAGGTAGGAAGGGACTTCTAGAAGGATAGCTGTGATAGTTAATATTGAGTGTCAACTTGATTGGATTGAAGGATGCAAATTATTGTTCCTGGGTGTGTCTGTGAGTTTGTTGCCAAAGGAGATTAACATTTGAGTCAGTGGGCTGAGAGAGGCAGACCCACCCTCAATCTGGATGGACACCATCTAATCAGCTGCCAGCATGGCTAGAATAAAACAGGCAGGAAAAGATGAAAAAGAAGACCTGCTGAGTCTCCTGGCCTTCTTCATCTTTCTCCCGTGCTGGATGCTTCCTGCTCTTGAACATCAGATTCCATGTTCTTCAGCTTTTGGACTCTTGGACGTACACTAGTGGTTTGCCAAGGGCTCTCGGGCCTTCAGCCACAGAATGAAGGCTGCACTGTCGGCTTCCCTACTTTTGAGGCTTTGGAACTCAGACTGGCTTCCTTGCTCCTCAGCTTACAGCCAGCCTACTGTGGGACTTCACCTGGTAATTGTGTGAGTCAATACTCCTTAATAAACTCTCCTTCATATATTCATATACCCTATTAATTCTCTCCCTCCAGAGAACCATAACTAGTACAGATTTTGGTACCAAGAATGGTTCTAGAGGAACAGAATTTTAAGGATGGAGTTCTTTAGTAAGTATTGGGGTTTCTGGAGTTGGCTGCTTCATATGACTAGATCCTAAAATGCTAAGGACTCTACTTCTAATAGTATGGAGAGCACTGATAGTCCTTAGTGAGAACTGTTTAGAGACTTATGCAAAATGAATACCTTTGCTATCCTGATTCACTGCTTTTGAAAGTCAAGGAGTTTAGTGACTCTATACATAATACCTTTGATCATATGTGGAGAAATAAGGAATATAATGAAGTTGGTTTGTTGCTCCTAAGTTCGCTGGACAAAGTGACAAAAGAAAAGGATGAGCTCAGGGATTCTAACTCCTGGCTCTGGAAGCACATACTGAGCCTCAAGTCTTCTAAGATTGCCCTGAGTGAGAGTCTTATCTCCTGCAGACAAAGGGCTAAAATTACAGAGAATCTGACACAAGCTCTTATCATGAGAGTGGCTGATCTGCAGCAAATGTTGCACGCTCAGTCTCACCAGATGTCTACTGTTTAAGTGAGGGCATTGACTGGAAAAGAATGGGACACTACAACTTGGAATGGGAATGTGTGGGTGGATCCTGATGAAGCTGGGGACACTAAGCTTGTAAACCCTTTTTCAATTTTTTTTTTTCCAGACAGAGTCTTGCTCTGTCACCTAGGCTGGAGTGCAGTGGTGCCATCTCTGCTCACTGCAACAGCCACCTCCCAGGTTCAAGCAATTCTCCCTGCCTCAGCCTCCCGAGTAGTTGGGATTACTGGCACCTGCCACCATGCCCGGCTAATTTTTGTAGTTTTAGTAGAGAAGAGGTTTCACCATGTTGGCCAGGCTGGTCTCGAACTCCTGACCTCAGGTGATCTGCCCTCCTCAGCCTCCCAAAGTGCTGGGATTACAGGTGTGAGCCACCACTCCAGGACAGAGTTTGTAAACTCTGATGAGCCTTTTTTGCCAGAGGAAACAGCCTCCCCACCCCCAGTGGTGTCAACAACCAGTCCTCCACCCATGCTGCCTTCAGCCTTTCCACCTTTGTCTGAGGAGATTAACCCTGCATTGCCTGAGGCAACAGTGACGACCTCCCCTGAACACATTGCCAGGAAAAACAATGCTGATTCTCTTCAGGACCTACCCTCAACACCCCTGTTGCCTCCTAGACCTGTAACTAGACTAAAGTCCCAGCAGACCCCTAGAGGTAAGTTTCAGAGTGACACACAAGGAGGTGTGCTACACTCCAAAAGAACTGCTTGAGGTTTCTAATTTATGTAGGCAGGAATCTGGAGAACAGGCATGGGAATGAATATTAAGGGTGTGGGATAATGGAAGAAACATAAAGTTGGATCAGGCTGAATTTATTGATATGAGCCCACTAAGTAGGGATTCTACATTTAATATTGCATCTTGGGGAGTTAATAGTTTATTTGCTTGGTTAGCTGAAATAGGGATCAAAAGATGGCTCACTGCAAGCCAGCTGGAAATGCCTGGCTTCCCTTGGTTTAATGTAGAGGAAGGGATCCAAAGACTTAGGGAGATTGGGATTCTAGAGTGGATTAGGCACTTTAGACCTACTCATCCCAGCTGCTAGGGTCCAGAAGACATACCCTTCACCAATACTTTGTGAAATAGACTTGTTAGGAGAGCACCTGCATCCTTGAAGATCTCTGTGATTGCTCTTCTCTATATGCCACATGTTACAGTGGGAATCAGAGTCACTAAATTACAAAACTTAAGTGTAATGGGAAAAATTGGATCCAGAGGTGGCAGGGGCCAAGTGGTGGCACTTATCCGTCAAAGGCAAGTTGGGTACAGTTACAGTAATGAACAGTAGAGGAAAAGCAGCCATCAGAATAGTCTGACTCGTGTAGAGCTCTGGCTTGGGCTAATTAATCACCGTGTTTCTAGAAGTGAAATTGGTAGGAAGCCTACAGCATTCTTACCTCATTTGTATAAGCAGAAAACTTCCAGGTTGAGTGGACAAAAGACTAATTGAATTATAAAAATAGAGAATCATAACCCCTCAATCAATGTCCAGACTGGAACCAGTTTGCAGACTCAGAACCCCTTGAATGAAGGGGAGGCCGAGTTCCCTTGAGGAAGGACCCTACCACACTACTGACAATTTCTGCTGTTAATCTTTCTTCCACCCTTCCCTAAGGAGACCTCCAAAAGTCTGTGTATGCTCTGAGTCAGCGTCCATTATATGGTACTGTTTCTCCCATAGTCAGGATTCACGGGTCCAGGAATCAAGGGGTGGAAGTGGAAGTGGTACCTTTTACAATCACCCCTAGTGACCCACTAGTGAAATTTTTGCTTCCTTTTCCTGCGACATTAAGTTCTGCTGGCCTAGGGATCTTAGTTCCAGAAAGAGGAATGCTGCCACCAGAAGACACAACAATGATTCCATTAAACTGGAAGTTAAGATTGCCACCTGGTAACTTTGGGGTCCTCCTACCTCTAAGTCAACAGGCTAAGAAGGGAGTTACAGTGTTTGTTGGGGTGACTGACTGGGACTATCAAGATGAAATCAGTCTACTACTCCACAATAGAGGTAAGGACGGTATGTGTGGAATACAGGATCCCTTAGGGCATCTCTTAGTATTACCATGCCCTGTGATTAAGGTCAATGGGAAACTACAACTCAATCCAGGTAGGACTACAAATAGCCCAAACCCTTCATGAATAAAAGTTCAGTTCACTCCACCAGGTGAAAAACCACAACCTGCTGAGGTGCTTGCTGAAGGCAAAAGGAACACCGAATGAGTAGGAAAAGAAGATAGTCATCAATACTAGCTACAACCATGTGACCAGTGGCAGAAATGAAGACTATAATTGTCATTAATATTTCCTCTTTATTTTCTTAAGAACATGTTTGTACATGTATATGCTTGCTTTTAAGAAAATATCTTCATTTTATTTCTTTTTTTTATCATGTGACATAGGATTTATTGACTTCATATCAGCATTTAAGTGTTGTTAACTTTATGTAACAACATTTAGGTTAAGGATTAGTGTGCTTCCGGTTGTATGAAGGATAGCTGTATTATGTTAAGCATAATTAGGACCTTATTATTGTCTTTATTTGAAGATTATGTATGATTTCAGGAGAGGTGTATGGGTTCAAGTTGACAAGGGGTGGACTTGTGATAGTTAATATTGAGTGTCAACTTGATTGAATTGAAGGATGCAAAGTATTGTTCCTGGGTGTGTCAGTGAGGGTGTTGCCAAAGGAGATTAACATTTCACTCAGTGGCCTGGGAGAGGCCGACCCACCATCATTCTGAGTCTCCATCATCTAATTATCTGGCAGCGTGGCTAGAATAAAGCAGGCAGGAGAAGATGGAAGGGCAGACTTGCTGAGTCTTCGAGGCTTCAACTTTCTCCTGTGCTGGATGCTTCCTGCCCTTGAACATCAGACTGCACATTCTTCAGCTTTTGGACTCTGACTTACACCAGTGATTTTCCAGGGGCTCTTGGACCTTTGGCTATAGACTGAAGGCTGCACTGTCGGCTTCCCTGTTTTTGAGGCTTTGGAACTCAGACTGGCTTCGTTGGTCCTCAGGTTGCAGATGGCCTATTGTGGGACTTCACCTTGTGATTGTGCGAGTCAATACTCCTTAATAAACTCCTCTTCATATATACATCTATCCTGTTAGTTCTCTCCCTCTAGAAAACCCTAATAAAATAGCTTAGAGCTCCATATATGAGTCTTTCAGTGATGCACAACCAAGATCACCTCATATATTCTCAGAAGCCATGGTGCATCATTTCCACTGCATCTTAATAGTTTGTGAGTTTATATTTTTTTCCAAAGCAGATTGGTCAATAATAATTTGTAGTCATGTAGAAAAAATAATCCATGTAGGGTTTTGATTAACTTTTGTGGTTAGGTGTTTAACAAGTTTTAATAAATTTAATAAATATGTAGACTATGTTGATGACCTGTCAGGCTTAGAAGTGTTATTGCATTAAAAACAATTTTTCTATTTTTTAAATATACTATTTTATTCACTTCAAATACTACATCTATTTAGACAGAGACCCCATTTATTAAAAATTCCTATGACCATAAATCTTCCTTTCTTGCCCGTTATGCTCCTTCAAATAAAACAAATTTCTTCGACTGATGATACAAAAAGTACCTCTTAACTGCAGTTTTGCATCTCATCTTCCTCAGGGTTTACTTATAGGAGTATTCTTCCACATTTTTCTCTTCTAGTTAGAGCCATGGGCATCAGGATTGCAATAAAGCAGAGTCATGACAGATGTGACAATGACTAATTGTAGCTGTTGCTGGCAATGTGGCAAAGGGATTTTCTCATTAAAGGTAAGGGTCAGAGGAAGATATGAGAATGAGAAAGCAATGTAATGGGGTCAGGGCAAAGTGACCACTTCAGCCTTGAGCCAACCCAAGTGGAAAATTGCTTGAAAAGCAGGTTAGCAATTTCAACCAGGAATGAAATACAGGATAAAAAAGGCTTTTAACAAATGCATAGAGATGACCACACACATTCTCAAATAGCCTTAAAATCATTATTTCTTACTTTCCAATGAAATATTTTTCAATGCGTTTTATAATTATTTTTTCGCTGCCTTTGAATAGAATTACATGAATAATTAAATTTTGCTCATTCTCTCTCCTCAGTACCTTTGCATCAGCTTCCTGTTCTTTATATCCATTGTCACTATCTTAGTTCCGACCCTCAGTTGATCTTCCTTGGACTAAAGCAATAGTCTCCAACTGGTCTTTCCATTTCCAAGTTCTCTTCTCTTTATAGTTTATTATCTCTCTCTTCCAAAAGCTTAAATGGTACTGTAATACCTACCAAATGAAAAGTAAACCCTCTAGCCTTTCATTGCAGGCCCTCTACAGTATGACGACTTATTCTAGTTTCTTCTAATCTTAACCTCTGTGACTACTGTGCCAATTCTCTATGCTCCAGCCTCATATAAATATAAATGTCTTCAGATGAACTCCCTTTTTCCAACGTTATTACTTTTTGCATATTTATTTTCACATCTCTTTATATTCAAATCAAATGCTTATTCCTTCATGATGCCTTTGCTGATTCTTTCCAGCTAGATTAATTTTTGCTTCTATAAACTCTCATAGCATTTTATCTCTTTTTACATATATCAAACTGCACATGATACTGTAATAATCTTTGTACTTGTCTCATTTGGTTCTCTTCCATTGTCCATTTCCCAGTGTCTAGCAAGATCATCCTCCAGTCCTCATCTTATTTATCCTTTGGTAGTATTTAACATTGTTGACCGAATTCTACTTCTTAAAACTCTCTTCTACAGGTGTCCAGAATGACATGATATTCTTCATATCTTCTGAATGATTATTCTCATCTTCTTTGCACAGTCACCTTGTCTAACTAGCTATTAAATGTTATACTTTTTCAAAGTTCAGTCCTAGGTGCTCCAATCATGCTCTACTCTCTTCCAAGATGACATTTCCTATACCCATGGCTTCAATGCATATGACCTGCAGATTTGTATTTCTGAAAGAGATTAGCCAGGTAATTCCTAGACCTTTATACTCAGGTGATAATTTTGCATCTCATCTTGAGTATCATAAACAACAATCAAACTCAACATAACCAAAACCAAGTTTATAATATTGTTTTACCCTCAAATATAGTTATCTTCCAGTATTCCTTATCTCAACAAATGACAGTGACATCACTCAGTTGTACAATTCAGGTAATCTCTACCACCTCCCTCTCCCTTACTTCCCATAGCCAACTTGCCACTAACTTGTCTAGCTTTTACTTACTAAGGGCACTTCAAATCTCTTTCTTTCTTACTGTCTCCCACTAAAAATACATTGGTCATAGCTAGCATCATTTCTTGCTGGGACTGCTCCTATAGCCTTCTAATAGTCTTTCCTCCCCTATCAGGGACTCTGTAATCCATTCTGCACACTGTATCTAGTTTATATTTTCAAACCATAAATGTAACATTATTTTCCTGCTAAAGCTCTGAAATATTTTGCTAATGTTTTTAGAATAAACATCTTAACACTGCTGTAGCCTTTGTCCAAGGCATCATGCCATTTTCACTTTACCATTTGGCCATTTGCATGCTGCTCCTTTAGTCTGGAATATGCACTCCCCCCGCCTTTTTTTTTTTTTTTTACCAGATTAATATTTCCCTAAAATGTCTTGGTTAATGTGTTATTTTTATTAAAAATAGTCTTTCCTGACCTCCTTAGCCTGATTATGTCCTCCTATTATCAGTGGCCACTGCACTGTGTGCCTCATTTTATAACATTTGTTACAATTGCAATTTTATATCTATTTATGTGATTATTTAACTAATGTCTTCATCTCCCACCAGACTGCAAACTTCACTGCATAAGGGATCAGGTATATACTTGTCACCTTTGTATCCCCAGCACCGGGCACAATACTAAAACAAAATAGATACTCAATTACTATTTGTGGAATAAATTAATTCCGTCTACTAGAAATTATGTTCATTCATTCAACAGGTGTTCTTTAAGCATTTATTACTTGCCATGGGCTGGCATGAAGCAGTTTTATCTTATCTTTGTCTATTCTGTAATACTTTGCTCATGAATGAATGGATGAATGTGAATCAGTTTTTCCTACTAGACCTTTAACTCTCAAATAAATAGAAGACTTCATAATATGAAAAATTAAGGAGCCATAAGTATGTTGGTTCTACTTCTTGAAACTTCTTTACATTTTATTTTATTATAATACTACTTTATATGTAAACACCACTTTACAGTTTATAGTCATTTTCACATAATGTCCATTTGAGTCTCAAATAATATTAATGCCTTCTTAGTACATAAAGATTAAGAAGTTCAGAATGATTAAATTATAAATAGAAATTGGCAGAGACAAGATTAGAACCTAGGAGGACTAGAAAAAGCTCATAGTCCAGTTTTTAGTTACTATAAGCTTGTCAGATATAATTAAAGGAAAGCAAAGTCTATTACAGGAGATATCTGTGTTTGTTTCACAAAAGAATGTTACCAGTAGCAAGTTGAGAAAATTGTGACAATTGCTGGTTTAAATATTGTTGCATTTACTGGCTATTTGTATTGCCTTCCCTTTCAGTGTGCACACCTGATGGCTTTCTACCATCACGCTTTTTGTCTTGAATTCCATTTGCACTGCAACTTAGGAGCAATGTACATTAGAATAAAAAGGTACAGGAAAATTTTCAAAAGTAATGGAGAAAAGAAAGATTATATTGAATCAAAAGATGAAACAAACTGTTCAATATTACTAATTTTTGGAACAGTTGACTCATATTATCTGACACTTAGAGAAGGCCACAAAGCCTACCTTTATTTGTTACTTATTTTTCCACGTGTCAACTCCAGATAAGAACACAGAAAACCAAAAAACAATAAAAGTGATAGCAATGAAAAGATGCATTAATCAGTTTTTCAAAAGTGAATAGCCTCAACTTACTATTTCTTTTGAAAGGGCATAACTAGCTAGGTTGTATCTAATGTACCTCTCTTTAATTATACATCCAAATTGGATTATGTTGTGAAGAATAAAAACAATACAGAACAATGAAAATAATATTTATATAATTTAATGATGATGGGTTTCATTTTTGGAAGAAATATTTTGATCTCCAGGCAATCTCAACTTTAATATAATTTTAGATCTTTTAGAAAGGGCTTTTAAATTTTTTTCAGAAGCTAATTAGAATAGACAAAGTACTATATTCAGACACCCATAATCTAAAACCAACATTATTTAAAATACGACTTTGAGTGTTTTTCACAAATAATCATTAAAACTGTTGAAGGATCTGAATGCCTTCCCTTGAAGTATTATTCTACCTAAAAAATGTCAGCGGGGGTTTTCAGGGGCAATGCTCAGAAAAACTCCCTGTATTTTGTTTGTAGATAATGAATATGTGAGTGTGAGTCCAAAAAATCAGTATAAAAAACTTTCAAAGAACTATTGACTTGTTTTTCTACTTTTATTTTAGTTTCGGGGGTACATGCATAGGTTTGAAACGTGTAAATTGTACATTATTGAGGTTTGGTGTAAAAGATTTTATCACCCAAGTAGTAAGCATAGTCCCCAAAAGATAGTTTATCAATCTTCAGCCTCCTCCCACACTCCACCATCAAGTAAGCCCCAGAATCTATTGTTTCCCCTTTGTGTTCATGTGCACTAACTAGCTCCCACTTACAAGCAGGAACATGGAATATTCGGTTTTCTGTTCTTGTGTTAATTTGCTTAGGATAATGGCCTCCAGTGTTAAAGCAAACTAAATATGGCCTGAGAAAGACTCCATACTTCTATATTTGAGTCCTGGTTGATGAACTGTAACCTGGCTTAATAGTCAGACAAAATTGAAAACCTAACTTAGTATGCACCTATAACAATGGCTGAGTGTTTGCCAATCCCAGCAGCCATACTTCAACCACTCACAGACTGCTGAATGTTTGAACTGCTTTCAAATAAGCTAAACACTGACCTGTAATCAATCTCACTGTTTCTGTACCTCACTTCTGATTTCTGTACATCACTTTACCTTTTTTTTGTCTATAAATTTGTTCTGACCACAAGGCACCCCTTGGGATCTGCTGTGATTCTGGGGGTTGCCCAATTCACAATTCATACATTGCTCAATTAAACTTTTTAAATTTAATTCAGCTGAAGTTCTTCTTTTATTAGATGGTGTCAGAAGCAGGATCCGAAGTGGAGCTACTAGAAACCTCCAGGAGTGCTGAGTGAACACACAAGGTACCTGCAGGACCCGTTTGTGTCCATTGATGTCTCAAAGCAGCTGGAGATCATGGGTAAGCTCCCTCTCGGATTTCGGAGCTCCAGGGATTTCTTTGAGCAAATTTCTGATCTAAATTGGGTTTGGAGTTGCAACAGAAATTGGACTGGGTCCAGGAACAGATTTGATAATGGAATTGATTGGCTTGGATCCAGTTAGAGGCCTCTTACATCTGACTGGGTCAGAAAGGAACTGGTCGTAAGCAGTAATATTACAGGGGATATACAATTTGGCTTTTGAAAATTCACAGAGATTTTTGTGTTACAAACTTTTGCTTCATTTTTCTTGCATGTTTAGGTAGAAAAATCATTGGCTAAGTTAATCAAGAGAACCTGAGCATAAAGCCAATATTTTCAGTAAAAATGGCATCCTTAATTTCTGGAAAACCAAGTTCAGTATGATGTTGGCTGTGGGCTTGCCATAGATGGCCCTTATTATTTTGAGGTACAGTCCTTCAATTCCTAGGTTTTTGAGGGTTTTTAACATGAAAATGTGTTGAATTTTTCAAAAGCCTTTTCTGTGACTATTGAGATGATCATGTGGTTTTTGTTTTTATTTCTGTTTATATACTGAATCAAATGTGTTGATTTGCATATGTTGAATCAACCTTGCATCCCAGGAATAAAGCCTACTCAATCATGGTGAATCCACTTTTTGATGTGCTGCTGGATTAAAGAAGTTTTCCTTTTTTGTTGTGACTCTGTCAGTTTTAGAATCAGAATGATGCTGGCCTAATAGAATGAGTTATGAAAGAGTAGCTGCTTGACTTTTTGGAATAGTTTCAGTAGGATTGGTACTAATCTGATGATTGGCACCAATCTTCATGTGTCTGGTAGAACTCAGCTGTGAATCCATCTGATCCAAGGCTTTTTCTGGTTGTTAGGTTTTTTATTACTGATTCAATTTCAGAACTCATTATTGATCTGTTCTGGTCATCAAGTTCTTCCTGATTCAATTTTGGAAGTTTGTATATTTTCAGACATTTATCCATTTATTCCAGGTTTTCCAGTTATTGTGCATAGAGATGTTCATAACAGTTTCTGAGTATATATTTCTGTGGGGTCAGTTGAAATGTCACCTTTGTCATTTCTGTTAGTGTTTATTTGGATCTTCTCTCCTTTTTTTTTAATTAGTCTAGCTAGTGGTCTATCAATCTTTATTCTTTTAAAAAACCAACTGTTGGTTTCATTGCTCTTTTGTATGTATTTTTGCATCTTTTTAATACAGCTCTGATTTTGGCTATTTATTTTCCTGCATCAGCTTTGGGGTTGTATTGCTCTTGTTTTTTAGTTCCTGTAGGTGTGCTATTAGGTTGTTAATTTGAGATCTTTCTAACTTTTTGAAGTGGTGTTTGGTGCTATAAACTTTCCTCATAACACTGCTTTATCTGTGTCTCAGAGATTCTAGTATGTTGTAATTTTGTTTTCATTAGTTTCAAATAATTTATTTATTTCTGCTTTAATTTCATTGTTTACACAATAGTCATTCAGTAGCATGTGTTCAGTCTCCTTGTAATAGTGTGATTTTGAGAGATCTTCCTGGTCTTGATTTCCATTTTTTTTGTATTCTGTGCTCCAAGAGTGTGGTTGGTATGCGTTCAGATTTCTTGAATTTGTTGACAATTGCTTTATAGTTGAGCATGTGGTCAAACTTAGAGTATGTGCCATGTGTAGATGAGAAGAACGTATAGTCCCTCGTTGTTAGGGGGAGTGTTCTATAATTTTTTTTGGGTCAACTTGGTCAAATGTTGGGTTTAGATCTTGAATATCTTCATTAGTTTTCTGCCTTGATGAGATGCATAAAACTCAGTGGGTTGTTGAAATCTTCCACTATTATTGTGTGGTTATCTAAGTCTCTATGTAGGTCTCTAGGAACTTGTTTTATCAATCTAGGTGCTCCAATATTGGGAACATATATATTTAGGATAGTTAATTCTTCTGTTGAATTGAGTTCTTTGTCATCATGTAATACGCTTCTTTATCCTTTTTTATCTTTTTTGGTTTAAAGTCTGTTTTGTCTGAAAGAAGAATAACAATCCCTGCTCTTTGTTGTTTTCCATTTGCTTGATAGGCCTTTCTCTGTCGCTTCACTCCAGGTCTATGCATGTCATTTTCTGTACCACGGGTCTTTTGAAGACAGGATACAGTTGGGTCTTGCTTCTTCATCCAACTTGCCACTCTGTGCCTTTCATGTGTGGTGTTTAACTTTATTACTTTCAAGGTTCATTTTGATATGGGAGGATTTTATCTTGCCATCATTCTGTTAGCTGGTTGTTATATAGACTTGATTGTATACTTGTTTTATATTTTCAGTGGGCTATGTAATTAACTGTCTGTTTCTGTGGTGGCAGGTAATGGTCTTTCGTTTTCATGTTTAGCATTCCCTTAAGGCAGGTCTGGTGGTAATGAATTCCCTTAGCATTTACTTGTCTGATAAAGGTTTTATTTCTCCTTCATTTATGAAACTTAGTTTGGCTAAATATGAAATTCTTATTTGGAATTTCTCTTGTTTAAGGACACTGAATATAGGCTCCCAATCTCTTCTGACTGTAGAGTTTCTGCTGAAAGTCTCACTTTTAGCCTTGATGAGGTTTCCTTTGTATGTGACCTGCCCCTTCTGTCTAGATGCCTTTAATTTTTTTTTCAAACTGACCATAAAGAATTTGATGACCATGTGTTTTGAGGATGGTCAACTTGTATATTTTGCAGGGGTTCTTCAAATTTTTCTTTCCTCAGTATGGTCTCTCCTTCTGTTAGTACTTCTAATTGCATTATGAAATTCTTGTAGTGAGTTTTTCAGCTCCAGTTGATCATTTTGGTTCTTTCTTAAAATGTCTCTTTAGTCTTTTAGCTCTTGTATCTCTTTTTATTGGATTCGTTAACTTCTTTGTGTTGGGTTTCAACATTCTCCTGAATCTTGATGATCTTCATTGCCATCCAGATTCTGAATTCTAGGTCTGTCATTTCAGCCATTTCATTATCAATAAGAACCATTGCTAGGAATCTAGTGTGGTTATTTTTATGTAAGAAGACATGTTGGCTTTTAGAGTTGCCAGAGTTTTTGTGCTAGTTCTATCTCATCTGTGTGAGTTGATTTGTGTGTGTGTGTGTGTGTGTGTGTGTGTGTGTGTGTGTAGTTGCTCTCTGGCTGGGGATTTTTGCTTTTATATTCTTTGTGTCCTTGATGCTTTTACTGTGGTATGAGCTGGGTTTCTTCTTTTGGCTTTCTGGAGGATTTCAGTCAACCAAGGCTCAGTTCAACACTTCTGGGCTGCTCTGTAGATCTAGGACCAGGCTTCTGCTTTTTCCTCTGGCCCCCTAAGTTTAAGCACTTTCTGCACTGGAGGGTCCAAGGTGTTCCCAGTCCACTGGCAACGGGACTCTAATGGGAGTGGGGTGGGGCGTGCAGAGGCTGAAGGCCAACACACTTCGGTGGGAGATGGCAACACAGAAGGGGTTCCCTTATGCATGTGTGCCACCAATGGGTCACCAATGGGTTCCTCAAATGTGTGTGTGCCAGTGGCTGGGTGGCAATGGAGTGGAGGCAAAGTCAACATGTTTATGTGTGCCAGCAAAGCAGCAAGATGAGGCTTCAGGTGATGTGCATCAATGAAACACTGAAGTTGCAGGCCAGTGTGCACCAGCAAAACAGTGTGGGGAGGCTGTGGGTAAGTATGTGCCTGTGAAGCAGTGGAAGGAGATTGTGGGTGAAAGTGTGCTGGAGAAGCAGTTAGGGGAGGGCACCTGTGGGGACCAACCTACAGAGGCTCTCTGACTGTTAGGCATGGTCTGCCAGCAAAAGAACTATGGTGGTGGCCTCTGGCAAGTGCCTTGACTAGGCAGCTGAGGCCATGCTGCAAGTGGGTGCAGCCAGGCAGAGAACTTGTGGTAGGCCAGCAGAAAGGGGGACACATAGATCAGATTGGCTTAATTTCATAGGCAAGATAGCCCTGCTCTGTCCAGATTCATCAACCAACAAAAGCTAAATCCATCTAGAGGGATATGGTGAGCCTTGGGGAATGGGCACCCATGGCCATGCTCCTCTTCAGCTATTCCTATGCCAAACGCTCTGTGCTTCATGAAGGTTGGAGTTCCATCTCTGTCAACTTTCTAGGCAGTTGTTTCTGCCAACTCAAATGTCCATGGGGGCCATGGCATCTCCTGCAGCTAGGATTCTGGAGGTTTGTGGTAAGAAGGTGCTAGTTCAAGACTATTTTACTTACCTTTTCCCCAGGAGCTGCTCAGGCTCAGGAATTCATCCTGTTGTTCAATAATCACATGCAGGGTTCTCAGCTTCCTTCCCTTTCAGTCCAGGGTCTGTGTACTCCTCCCCTACACTGTCAATGCCTTCTTTCTGAAGACCTGTTTGGAGTGCACCTGTCTTCTTGTTGGTCTGTCTGGTCTCTCAGTGGAAGAAGTTATTCCTGTCAGTATCTAGTTAGTCACCTTATCTCCATGTTTAACCATTGACTTTGAACCTGTAATTAATTAGTAACAGTTTCATATTAAAATAAACACTAAAAATTATATGTCTAATGAATTTGTAAATATTTGCTATCACATTATTATCATTATTATTATTCTTAATATTATTTTGCTTCCCTATACTCTCCTCTGCCTTTTAATTTTTTTGTTACTTTCTGTCTTTATACAATACTATGTGTCCATCAGTGCATAGATATGCTTAATTAAAGAAGAGGGTCAATTGCTGTAGCTCTTGACAGAATGCATTATTTCAAGTAACAGAGATAATTGGTATAATCACTAATGTCTTGCATGATTTCCCACTTCCTTGACAAGGTTTCTAAACAGCAAGCTTTTGATTATTTTGTTTTCTGAAGTGATGGTTTCATCTGTATAGTTTCCTTGGTTTCTGGATGATGCTGTAACATAGCTTGTGAAATTTTAAAGGACAACCGATGGCTTCTTCTGAATGTTCTTTGCAGCAGAAAAATCCTTGGTTATAGAAAGTTTTAAAATAGCAGAAATTGATTTTCTCTCTAAATTCACAGCACAGCTAAATGTTAATTGGAAGTTATACAACAGAAAGGATAACTGATTTAACCATTGATCTTTACATTTCCCATAATTCTCTTTTGTTGCAATGTTTCTGGTTAAGATGAAGTATGAGGAGTTTTTCTGGTGAGAACTGAAGGTCAGAAAAGAGACAGGAGCCATTTTATAACACACACAGATACTAATCCACTGACTCACTCCCTTAATGTGATGCGGTAGCTGGGCCTGCAATTGCTGTCACTTGCCCCAGAATATTTCCTCAGTGTCTCTGATTCCTTGACCAGTTGTATTTGTGTTTAGTTCTGTGATAATAGGTCCTGGGTTCTGCAGCACACCCTCATCATCAAGATCAAAGGCTACAAGAATGAAGGGGGTTTCTGAGCTTAAGTTTTTCAAGTATATAATTAACCTTTATCTCATTCCTATAATTCTTTGGAGATTTACGCTACCAGCATTACACGAAGATGACTTGATAACTAGGAACTTGTTTACTGAATAGTACTGCACATTCTAGAGGTCAGTCATACAAATTCCTGAACTAAAAACAACTATCATGATTGAGCACTTCATTTCTCTCCCTCAGCTTGTGGAAGTAATTTTTAAGCAGGTGATTCCAAAGAGTTAGTCTTAGATATATTTTGCAGTAACTCTTTGCAAATATAGCCTTAGAGCCATATTTTAATGCTGCAATTCTATAAATGTATATAAATATAAAACATTTTATCATAAATGTAGTTCTATATGACTGGAAGACTAGATGTCAGTTGTTTACATAACATATCAAGAACATCAATGCAGCTAGCATTTTGGAAAATTGGCCAGCAATATTTTAGAAAATCAAGGAAGAAATGAATTTCTAGACACATTAGTTTGTTTCTAGGAACTCACTCTAACTTTTGTTGGTGTTATTTTTGTTGCATCTCAAATTGAGAGTTGTGCTTTCCAATTTGTAAAAGAAAAATCATTATTTCATTGCACAAGAGATTTAAACAACATAATATGGCAAAAGGTCAATGAGCATAGTATATTTTTAGCTTCTGTTTCAAAGCTTTTAAGGAGTCATTGTAAAATGCACCACTAACCATGAAACAGGATCCAATACTTGTCAGTACAATATGTGCGATACATGGGCATTCTTAAATTTCTTAGAAAGGTTGGAGGACAATTACAAAGAAAATCCTCATATTATAAATTTGTCCAATATGATTCTTTTAAGACTCAGAAATATTATAGAAAGAGTAATTATGGCCTTTCTGATTCCAGCTGTGTTCCTGAAGAAATCATCCAAGTAATTAAAGTGTCAATTCATTGGAAAGAATATATTATAGTCACTTAGTAGCTTGAGAAATATTAGAGCTCCTTTTCTCCTTTCCCAATATTTTAAAATCATGCAGCAGTATTTTATTTATGTGAACAGATAGACATATTATTATCTGATTTCAAGTTTACTGGTAAATATCTGTGTTACATACTGAGATGCAGAGTTCAGATGACCCTCTAAAAAGGTCATCCTGCTTTGAAGTGTGTGGTTAGCTGATGGCCTCCAGCTGTGAGAGGCCTCACAGAAGAAAGCCTCAGCTTTTGGGCCAAGGTCATGCTCTTGTTGAAGAGGATCTCAGCCAAGGACTAAGCAAGAACAAAGTCTAGCTATTTCTGCCCAATGTGAGACTTCTCTAATGATGATACTTGCTGTAAATCCACTTGTTAGACTGGCAAGGACTTTGTCAGGTCTGCATCATTGTCGGTGGTTTCTCTCTGCATCAGTCTCCAATAAATCTTTTGTGCTCCTAAGTGTATCAGTGTCTGCATCCCATAAAACACCAGCACAAATGGTCCACAAAAATAGGTGGGAAATATGGAATTTGAGGGCATAATCACTTTTGACTGCATTTCTGCAACGATGACCCCATGTTTGGTTTTTGGTGGAATATAGGCAGCCACTTGTAGAATGTAGTAATATAATTGTTAAAACTTTCACCAATGGTAAGTTTGGAAAATTTGCTGACAGAGAGCATTATACTGATCAGTATAATGATTTAGATATTTTAAATTTCCTGGTGATAGGTAAATAAACCAATCACAGAATTTTGTTACTGCTACTCACTAAGTTACATGGAAACCCTATAGGCTGAGGTCACATTCTTCTCAAGGTGGCTCCCAGTCGTTGATCAGGAAATATTAATACCATAGCCTGGCCATTTCTGCCCAATGTAGGACTAATGGTCAGTCTTTGCTACCGCACTTCCCATTGAGCTGGTAAAGACTTTCAGGTCTCCATCACAATCTGATGTCTTATCTACCCAATCTTGCTTCCTCCCCTTTCCTTTCACAAGTGTTAATCACCAATAAAACCTTTGTACTTCTATCTTTGTATCATCATTTCCTTCCCAGAGACTCTTATCAGCACACTATGAATCCAAAAGTTTGGTAGGAAATGTGACCAATTAACTACTTGTGCTAATGACTTTATCTTACATACTGTAAAATATTCCATACGTTAAAAACTTAGAAATGAACTATGTTAGTGACTAAAATATCTTTGATGCTTGAGAAGGTATTTTGAAATTGATAACAAAATCTATTGTCCTAAAATCCTAAAAGTGTTTGAGAAAATGATCTGGTGCTTTTCATCTACATGTTTTCTAACAGTGCAACTCTTTTTTGGTAAACATAGAATATAGAATGAGTACATGTATGTATATATATTCAATATACTGTGTGAAGATCATCTTTGAGCTAGAATACACTTCAATTGATAATACTCCTTTCTTTTTGAAGAAACTGTTGTTTAGAAGACATTGAAATTAAGGTTAGTATAAACTAGTATTTTTCAAAGTGTCGTTCATCAATTTGTGAGACATTTTTAGGGAATTCAAAAAATCAAACTATTTGCTTTTTTTTTACTATTTTGTTATTTGCACTGGTGATGCAAAAGCAGTGATGGTTAAAACTGTATCTTAGCACGAAACGAGGTAGTGGCACGAAACTATTTTAGCAATAGTTGTATTTTTCAGCAGCATTCATTCATTGAAGGAAAAAATTATTTATTTTAGTACTTATGGATGTCCTTTGTAAAGGAGTAACAATTACCAATTTTACCATATCTTGATCATTGACTACATATCTTTTTATTATTCTGCACAACAAATGAAAATTATGCTTAAAAAATTTATGCTTCATACTGAGGTACAAAGCTCTATTCATTTGGTTTGGTTTTGGAAGTATACATATATATTTTAATAAAAATATTTGTTCAGGTTAACATCTACTTGGTTATTTGATTTTTTCAAATAAATAAATAAATAATTTCCAAAATTTATCTTTTAAATTTCTGATATGAGAAATATCAATAGGTATTGGGGGAACCTGCCCCCAGTATTTCAACATAGGTTCTTTCTATTTTCCATAAGTGTCAGCTGGCTGAGAAATAAAGAGAGACAGTATAAAGAGAGGAATTTTACAGCTGGGCCACCAGAGGTGACATCACATATTGGTAGGACCATGATGCCCACCTGAGTCTCAGACCAGCAAGATTTTATTAAGGATTTCAAAAGGGGAGGGGGTGTAAGAACAGGGAGTAGGTACAAATATCACATGCTTGAAAAGGCAAAAAGCAGAACTACTAGTAAGGATCTAACAAAGATCACATGCTTCTGAGGGAACAGGACAAAGGGAAAAAGCAGAACTACTGATAAGAGTCCAACAAAGATCACAAGGCAAAGGGCAAAAGCAGAACTACTGATAAGGGTCTATGTTCAGCGGTGCACATACTGTCTTGATAAACATCTTAAATAACAGAAAACAGGATTTGAGAACAGAGAACCAGTCTGACCGCAAATTTACCAAGGCGGAGCTTTTCCCCACCCTAGTAAGCCTGAGGGTAATGCAGGAGACCAGGGTGTATCTCAGTCCTTATCTCAACTGGATAAGACACACATTCCCAGAGTGGCCGTTTATAGACCTCCCCCCAGGAATGCATTCCTTTCCCAGGGTATTAATATTAATATTCCTTGGTAGGAAAAGAACTCAGTGATATCTCTCCTACTTGCAGGTCCATTTATAGGTTCTCTGCAAGAAGAAAAATATGGCTCTTTTTGCCTGACCCCGCGGGCAGTCAGACCTTATGGTTGTCTTCCCTTGTTCCATAAAAATTGCTGTTATTATGTTCTTTTTCAAGGTGCACTGATTTCATAGTGTTCAAACACACATGTTTTACAATCAATTTGTACAGTTAACACAATTATCACAGTGGTCCTGAGGTGATGCACATCCTCAGCTTACAAAGATAACAGGATTAAGAGATTAAAGTAAAGACAGGCATAAGAAATTACAAAAGTATTATTTGGGAACTGATAAATGTCCATATTAAAATGAAATCTTCACAATTTATATTCCTCTGCCGTGGCTCCAGCTGATCCCTCCATTTGGGGTCCCTGACTTCCCGCAACAAATAGGTGTAACTTACATAAACAAAAGTTATTTGAAGCCTCAGACTTTTAATTGGAACATAAGACCAAAAAAAAAAAAAAAACAAAAACAAAAAACCCAGACAGTTGCTCAATAAATAATTTCCTTCCCCGTAATTATAATTTGTAAGTCACAGAAAATTTGGATATTTCTAGGAAAACATACAATATTAAAATCAGAATAATTGGTAAATAATAAAGATTCTGGAATATATATCATAATTTTGAAGTCCATTTGGTGATAGGATAAAGAACTATACATGGTTTTATGTTTTGAAATTTTGAGTTAATTAGCTCCACTATTAGCCACTTTAACATTTTATTAACTTTTTTTTTCTTTCTTGTAACATGATGGCAGAATAGGAGATTATGAGTTTACTTGCCCCTACAAAAAGCAGCAATTTGACAGTTATCTATTAATGAAAATAACCGTGGAAGTGCTCAGGACTCCACCTAAGCTATAGCAATACAGTGGAAGGAAAAACAAATTACAAGGATAGGAAGAATAGGTTCACTTTTCCTGTATCATCCCCATCTCCCAGGCCAGAACGGCTCATCATGAAGATGGAACCCCCTGGCTCATGAGTGCTCCCTTACAAAGAAAAAGAAAGTAGGGAGAACAACCATCTTCCCCAGCCTACTGAGGCACTGCCCAAATGACCAACTACAGTTTCACTCAATCCCCATTGCCTGGGAAACCAACATAGCTGAGATACCTAGAGACACAGGTGAAAAAAGAAGAGGGATAGGGTCTATCAGTGTTAGCCATGAAGCAGGAACCATCACAGTTCCCAGTGGCCTGCTCTGTACAGCACTCCAGCTGACTTCTCTTCTGATGACCTCATCAACCCTTAGGGTCCTCATGAATGCCCTGCAGCTTTCACCACTGATTACCCGAAACCCCATAGTGTTCACCATAGCCAACCCTAGGAGCTTGTATTATAGAATACCCTAGAAGCTTTTCCCCTGAGGAAACTGACAGCCAGAATAGCTGCAGCAACCCTCCTAAAGTTTTTGCTGCTTAGAACCTTGTAGTGTTTTTTTTTTCCTACACAGTCTCCAGGTGCTTGTGCCACCACTCCTGCCCTCCTCATTCTTTATTCAACCCAGCTGCTGCTTTTAAGGCTGATCTACCCCAGAACCCCAGAAAACTCACTACACATGTGCCCACAAATGGCCATGAGCTCCCTGACACTGGTTTGGTTTTCATATAGGCAGATGTGAGTTCCTGAGGCTGACCCCTACACTCAGTTAGTATATGCTACCAGCTCCAGTCTCCACAGCTGTGCCTGCATAAATAACTGATCCTGCTTCCAGGTGCCTGCCCAGGTGATCATGCTCGCATCCACAGTTAGTGCCTGCAACTGTAGAGATGTGCACAACTCCAGCTTGGGTCATAGCTGCCCACTCACATGCAGCCACCCTGACTCCTGTAACCAGCACGTAGCTGGCTCCTGCAATTGTGCATGTTCACATTGTCAGCCACCAATATTATACATGCACTCACAATCAGCCCCTGCCTCTGCTGCCATGCATGTGACTGCAGCCAGGACCCATAGCTAGCTCTGGTCCCCACTGCTACTTGCCCCTGCCTCCTGACACTGGACGTAGAGATGCCATCCCAACAAACCTTACATCCACAGCAGAATTCCCACAGCTCTTGCCAATGAGGACAACAAAGTTGCCAGCATCACATTACAGACCACTATTGCCGAGCTGATGAACTGTGCACCCCACAGTCCTGGAGCCGCCACATACTCCCATCCTTGGTGCCCTGTGCCTCTAGACCCAATGCCACAGCATGCCACAACATGCTGTCACTTTTCCTCTGCAGGATAAGATTTTGCCTTACCAAAGCAATTCCACCATAATGACTGGAAAAGGTGACTGCTTCTTCAAAATGTAAAAACACCTTCATAAAACTACAATGCAGAAATTCATAGGACCATCAGGGTCAGTTATACTGTCTCTTTTTCATTTCTGATTTTATTTATTGGAATTCTTTTTTCTTAGTCTCACTAAAGGTTTATCAATTTTGTTTAACTTTTTAAAAAAGAACATTTTGATTTACTGATTTTTAAATTTTTTTATTTCAATTTCATGTATATCTGCCCAGCTGCTTAAATCTTTCTTTTCTTCTACTAATTTGGGGTTGGGCTTGCTCTTTATTCTCTAGCTCTTTTGGATGCATTGTGAGATTGTTTACCTGAAAAATTTCCTCTTTTTTGATGTAGGCATTTTTTATAGCTATAAACTTTCCTTTTAGTACTTTTTTTTCTTTTTTTTTTAGACAGAGTTTCACTCTTGTCGCCCAGGCTGGAGTGCAGTGGCGCAATCTCGGCTCACTTCACCCTCCACCTCCCGGGTTCAAGCGATTCTCATGCCTCAGCCTCTCGAGTAGCTGGGATTACAGGCACCCGCCAATATGCTCAGCTAATTTTTGTATTTTTAGTAGATACGGGGTTTCACCATGTTGCCCAGGCTGGTCTTGAACTCCTGACTTCAGGTGATCCACCTGCCTTGGCCTCCCAAAGTTCTGGGATTACAGGCATGAGCCACCATGTTCTGCCCCTTTTAATACTTCTTTAGCTGTATTTTATAGGTTTTGATATGTTGTGTTTTCATTACCATTTGTTTCAAAAATTTTTTCAATTTTTAAAAAATGTCTTCATTAAAACACTGGTCATGCAGGAGCATATTGTTTAATTTTAATGTATTTGTATGGTTTCCAAAATGTATCTTGTTATTAATTTCTAGTTTTATCCCACTGTGGTCAGAAAAGATGCTTTATATTATTTTAACTTTTTGAATGTTTAAAGACTCCATTTGTGACCTAACATGTGACTTATCATTGAGAACGATTCACGTGCTGAGTAAAAGAATGTGTATTTTGCAGCTGTTGGATAAAATGTTATGTTTTGGTATATATTGCAGATAAGTCTGATATTTCTTTGTTGATTTTCTGTCTGTATTATCTGCCTAATGTTGAAAGTAGAGTGTTTAAGTTTTCAGTTGTTATTGTACTGGGGCCTGTTTCTCTTTTTAACACTAATAGTATTTGCTTTATATATCTGGGTACTCCAGTGTTTGTGCATATATACATAAAATTGTTATATCACCTTGTTGTATTGACCACTTTATCACTATATAGTGACTCTTTTTGTCTCTTCTAATAGTTTTGGTCTTGAAATCTATTTTATCTGATATAAGTATAGCAATTCCTACTCTTTATTGGTTTCCATTAACATGGAGTATCTATTTCCATTTCTTTATTTTCAGTTTATACGTGTCTTTCTAGGTGATGTGTATTTCTTGTAGGCAACAGATCAGTTGGTAAATTTATACAGTAATGTCTTTAGTTAGAGAGGTTAGTCTATTTACATTCAATGTTATTACTGATAAGTGAAAACTTACTCTTGACATTTTGGTTTTTGTTTGTTTGTTTGTTTGTTTTTCTGGTTGTTTAGTGGTCTTCTCTTCCATCTTTTTTTCCTTCCTGTCTTCCTTTAATGAAGGTAATTTTCTCTGGTAATATAACTTAGTTTCTTGCTTTTGTGTGTGTGTATCTGTTGCATGTTTTTTTGGTTTGATGTTACTATGAGGCTTGCAAATACTATCTTCTAATCCATTATGCTGAGGTGATAGCAACGTAACATTATTTGCATAAACAAACAAGCAAAAACAAAACTAATGAAAACTCTATGCATTAACTTTGTCACCCTGCTTTTCAACATTCTGTTTTTTCTAGTAACATCTTATTTTGCTATGTCTTTAAAAGTTGTTTTAGCTATTTTTTATTGATTAATCATTTAGTCTTCCTATTTAAAGTAAGAGTAGTTTACATACCACAGTTACAGCGTTATAATATTCTGTGTTTCTCTGTGTACTTACTATTACCAGTGGGTTTTATACCTCGAGGTGATTATTGCTAATTAACATCCTTTTCTTTCTGATTGAAGTACTCCCTTTTTCATTTCTTGTAGGACAGGTCTGGTGTTGATAAAATCCCTCAGCTTTTGTTTGTCTGGGAAAGTATTTCTACTGAATATTTGAAGGGTATTTTCTCGGGATGTACTATTATAGGGTAAATGTTTTTTGCTTTTGTTCCTTGTTTTTTAATTTACCACTTTAAATATGTCACATCACTCACTTCTGGCTTGTAAGGTTTTCACTGAAAAATCTGCTACCAGAAGTATTGAAGCTCCACTTGATGTAATTTGTTTCTTTTCTCCTTTTGCTTATGATTCTTTATCCTTCATTTTGGGGAGTTTGATTATTAAATGCCTTGAGATAGTCTTTTTTTATTAGTCTGCTTAGTATTCTCTCACCTTCTTGTACTTCAATATTGATATCTTCTTCTAAGTTTTGAAAGTTCTTTGTTATTATCCCTTTAAATAAACTTTCTACCCCGTCTCTTTCTCTCCTTCCTCTTTAAGGCCAATAACTTTTAGATTTGCCCTTTTGAGGCAATTTTCTAGGTGCTGTGTGTTTCATTGTTTTTCTTTAATTCTTTTTTTCTTCTGTCTCCTCTGATTTTGTATTTTCAAATATCCCTACTTCAAGCTCACTAATTATTTCTTCTGCTTGATCACTTATGTTACCAACGGACTCTCTTACAGTATTTAGTATGCCTATTGAATTTTTCAGCTGCAGAATTTTTACTTGATTGCTTTTGTTTTAATTTCTCTGTTAAATATATGTGCTGGAATTCTGAATTCCTCCTCTTTGTTATCTTGAATTTCTTAAATTTTCCTCAAAATAGCTATTTTGAATTTTATGTCTCAATGATTACATATCTCTGTTTTTCCAGGATTGGTCCCTGATGTCTTATTTAGTTCTTTTGGTGAGGTTACATTTTTTCTGAATTATCTTGATACTTGTAGATGTTCCTCTGTGTCTGGCATTGAAGAGTTAGGTATTATTATAGTCTTCACTGTCTGGGCTTGTTTGTACCTGTCCTTTTTGGGAAGGCTTTGCATATATACAAAATCACTTGGGTGTTGTGATCTAAGCTATATTTGCTTTAGACGGCACCCTAAGCCCAGTAAGGCTATGGATCTTAGGGCTTGTAGAGGTACTGCCTTGATGATCTTGTCCAAGACACAGGAGATTTTTCTGGATTACCAGGCAGAGACTTTTTCTTCTCCCTTATTTTCTCCCAAACAAATGGAATCTGTCTCTTAGTTCTGAGAGACCTAAAGCTGGAGGACAAATGACACAAGGAGCTCTTTGGCCACCACTTCTAACACTGTACTGGGTCAGACCTGAAGGCAGCACAGCACATGGTCTTGCTTGTAACCACTCCCTGGCCACAGCCTATGTTTTTTTTCTCAATGCTCTGAGGCTCTACAATCAGCAGGTGGCAAAGCCAGCCAGTCTTGTGTACTTCATTCAGGGTGGTAAATTCCCTCAGGCCCTGGGTGACTCCAGAGTTTTCATCTGAGAGTCAGGGATTAAAGTCCAAAACCTTAGACATCTACTTGGTGTTCCATTGTATTGCAGCAGAGCTGGCCCTCAAACCACAAGTTGTAGTTCTTTCCTCTCTTCCCTTCACTTTCCAAATGCAGAGGAGGCTTACCCCATGGTCAATGCCACCACCGACCCATGGGGAGTACTGCCAGGCTGGCACCAATGTTCCTTTAAGGCCCAAGGGCTATTAAGTCAGCTTGTAGTAAAGGCTGCCTTGCTTGGGAATCACCCCTCAGGGCAGTGGGCTCCCCTGGGGCTCAGGAGAGGTCCAGAAATACCATCTAAGAGTCAGTTTCTGGAATTAGGGACCCCAGGAACCTGCTTCGTACTCTACACACCTGTTGCTGAGCTGGTACCTGAAGTTAGGTGGTCTCAGAGGTTCACTCAAGGCCCTCAACATACAACCTGGTTATTGCTGCTGGTTATTCAGGGCCCAAGGGTTCTTTAGTTAGCAAGTGATCAATGCTGCCAGGACTGGTTTCTTCCCTTCAAAGCAGCCAGTTCCTTTCTGGCCTGGGATGTGTCTAGAAATGTCACCCAGGAACTAAGGCCTTGAATGGGGATCTCATGACTGACCGGTGCCTTATCCTGCTATGGCTGAGCTGCTATACAAGATGAAAGACACTGTTCTCACTTTTTCGCCTCCTCTCCTCAAGTGGAAGATACAGAACTGTTTTGGAGCTGTGAGTTGTGCTGGAATAGGGGTGGAGGAATGCCCACACTCCTTTAGCTGCTCCAGCTGGTGTCTAAGTAGATCACATGACACCCCAGTCTACTTTCTTTGGGCCCAGTTCAGCACTGGGACTTGCCTAAGGATCGCAGTCCTTCTGGTCCAGACTGTCTTTCAAGTTTACTTAAAGACCCAGAATACTTTAGCCGTGGTGGCAAGTTTTGTGGGAACTCAAGTTCTGACTGCTAGGATTGGTGATTGCCCTCTGGTTAGGACTGGTTTAAATGCTTATTCTGTGGGCAGGTGTCAGCTGAATTTGGTCCTGGAAATAAGTGTCAGTCTCGGATATTTCAGGAATGGGCCAGGATATATAAAGGGGAAAAATAACATGCTTCATAGAAAAAAACATAGGGGTAAATTCTTAGATGTTAACTGAGCTTTTACCAATTGAAAGATGTATTTAGTGTTGCAAAACTGTATATTTAAAAATACAACATACCTTAAATAGGCAAATACTTTACTGAATTAACTTATATTTAAGTCTGTTACAGGAAAGAGATTGACCCATGTTCTCTTGCCTTTTTTATTTCCAAATTTCATTTTAGGTTCAGAGCATACATGTGCAGGTTAGCTACATGGGTAATTTTCATGTCATAGGGGTTTGGTGTGCAGATTCTTTTGTCACCAAGTAATGACCATAGTGATTGACAACTAGTTTTTCTTTCCTCATATTGTTCCCACCCCCCACTCTATAGTAGGACCTGGTGTCTATTGTTCCCTTCTTTGTATCTATGTGTACTTAATGTTTAGTGCCAACATATAAGTGATAACATGCAGTATTTGGGTTTCTGTTCCTGCATTAATTCACTTAGGATAATGGCCTCCAGTTCCATCCATGTTGCTGCAAAGGACATGATTTCATTCCTTTTAATGGCTGCATGGTACTCCATGGTATATATGTGACATATTTTCTTTATTCAGTCTACTATTGATGGACATCTAGATTCATTTCATGTCTTTGCTAATGTGAATAGTGCTGCAATGAACATACATGAGCATTTGTCTTTATGATAGAACAATTAATATCCCTTTGGGTATATACAGTAATGAGATGGCTGGGTAGAATAGTAATTGTGTTATAAATTCTTTGTGAAACCTCCAAACTGTTTTCCACAGTGATTAATTTATATTCCCACCAGCAGTGTATATGTGTTCCCTTTTCTCTGCGATCTCTCCAGCAACAGTTATTTTGTGACGTTTTAATAATAGCCATCCTGACCAGTGTGAGATGGTGTCTTATTGTGGTTTTGATTTGCATTTCTCTAATAATTACTGATGTGGAGCCTTTCTTCATATGCTTGTTTGCTGTTGGCCATGTGTATGTCTTCTTTGAGAAGTTTATGTTCTCTGTCCATTTTTTAATGGATTGTTGATGTTTTGCCTGTTCGTTTCTTTTTTGTTTTTCTTTTTTTTTTTTTCTTTTTGAGACAGAATCTCACTCCATTGCCCAGGCTGAAGTGCAGTGGTGCGATCTTGGCTCACTGCGGTCTCCGACTCCCAGGTTGAAGTGATTCTCCTGCCTCAGCCTCCCGAGTAGTTGGGACTACAGGCGTGCACTACCATGCCCAGCTGATTTTTGTATTTATAGTAGAGATGGAGTTTCACGTGATGGCCAGGTTGGTCTCAAACTCCTGACCTCAGGTGATCCACCTGATTTGGCCTCCCAAAGTGCTGAAATTACAGGCATGAGCCACTGCACCTGGCCAATCTGTTCGCTTTTTTAAGTTACTTATAGATTGTGGATATTAGACCATCTTGGGATGCATAGCTTGCAAATTTTTTTCCCATTCTTTAGGATGCCTGTTTACTTTGCCGATATTTTATTTCACTGTGCAGAAGCTCTTTTGGTTAACTTCATCTCAATTGTCAATTTTTGTTTTTGTTACAATTGATTTTGGAGTCTTTGTCATGATATATTTGCCAGGACCAATGTTCAGAATTGTATTTCCTAAGTTTTCTTTTAGGATTTTTATAGTTTTAGGTTGTACATTTAAGTCTGTAATCCATCTTGAGTTGAGTTTCGCATATGGTGAAACAAATGGTCTCAGCTTCAATCTGTTGTGTAATTTTAGTCAGTTATCTCAACACCATATATTAAATAGAAAGTCCTTTCTTCATTGCTTCTTGCTGTTGGCTTTACCAAAGACCAGATGGTTGTCAGTGTGAAGCTTTATTTCCGTGTTCTCTATATTGTTCTGTTGCTCTGTGTGTCTGTTTTTGTATAGTACCATGCTGTTTTGGTTATTTTAGCCTCATAGTATAGTTTTGAGTCAGGTAATGTTATGACTCTGGCTTTGTTCTTTTTGCTTAGAATTGCTTTGGTTATTGGGGCTGTTTTTTGGTCCCATATAAATTTTAGAATATGTTTTGAATTCTGTGAAAAATATCATTAGTAGTTTGATATAAGTAGCGCCAAATATGTAAACTGCTTGGATAGTATGGCCACTTTAACAATACTGATTCTTTCTATCCATGAGCATAAAATGTTTTGCCATTTGTTTGTGTCATCACAACAATGTGACACATCATCTTTCAGCATTGTTTTTTTAAATTCTTATTGTAGAGATCTTTTACCCCCCAGGTTAGTTGTATTCCTAGATATTTTGTTGTTTTTTTGGCTATTGGGAGTAGAATTGTATTCTTGATTTGACTCTCAGCTTGGACATTATGGGGGTATAGAAAATGCTATTATTTTTGTAAATTAATTTTGTATCCTGAAACTTTATTGAAATTGTTTATCACTTTTAGAAACCTTTGGGCAAATACTATGTGGTTTTCTAGGTACAGAATTATATCATCTGAGAAGAGGATAGTTTGACTTTTTTTTAAATTTGGATGTCTTTTATTTATTTATCTTGCTTGATTTCTCTGAATAGAATTTGCACTGCTATGTTGAATAGGATTGGTGAGAAAATAATCCTTCCAGCTTTTTCTTCTTCAGTGTTATGTTGGCTGTGGGTTTGTCATAGATTGCTCTTACTATTTTGCTGTATGTTCTTTGGATGCTTAGCTTTTTTTTTTTTTTTTTAGAGTCTCGCTCTGTCGCTCAGGCTGGAGTGCAGGGGTGTGATCTCGGCTCACTGCAAGCTCTGCCTCCTGGGTTCACGCCATTCTCCTCCCTCAGCCTCCCGAGTAGCTGGGACGACAGGTGCCCACCACCACGCCTGGCTAATTTTTTGTATTTTAAGTAGAGACGGGGTTTCACCGTGTTAGCCAGGATGGTCTTGATCTCCTGACCTCGTGATCCGCCTGTCTCGGCCTCCCAAAGTGCTGGTATTACAGGCATGAGCCATCACGCCTGGCTTTTTCTGATAATTTTTATTTGAAAAACAATGCACTCAATTTATACGTCACCATGGCATATTCCCTCAGGCTGTTCTTGTGATAATGAGTGAGTTCTCATGAGATCTGATGGTTTTGTAAGTCAGTTTTCCCTGCTTTTGCTCTTTCTCTTTTACCTGCTGCCATGTAAGACATGCATCTTTCCTTTCTGCCATGATTGCAAGTTTCCTGAGGACTTCCCAGCCATGTGGAACTGTAAGTCAGTTAAACTTCTTTTCTTTATGAATTACCCAGTCTTTAGTATGTCTTTACAGCAGTGTAAACATGGACTAATACAGTAAATTGATACCACAGAGAGTGGGGTACTGCTATAAAGGTACTTGGAAATGTGGAAGCAACTTTGGAACTGGGTAACAGGCCAAGGTTAAAACAGTTTGGAAGGCTCAGAGAAGACAGAAGATGTGGGAAACTTTGAATCTTCCCAGAGATTTATTGAATGGTTTTCACCAAAATGCTGATAGTGATATGGACAAATGAATCCACGCTAAGGTGGTCTCAGATGGAGATAAGAAACTTACTGGGAACTGGAACAAAGGTCATTCTTGCTACGCTTTAGCAAAGAGACTGACAGCATTTTGTCCCTGCCCTAGAGATCTGTGGAACTTTGAACTTGAGAGAAATTATCTGAAATTGGGATTTATGTTTAAAACGGAAGCAGAGCCTAAAAAGTTTGAAAAGTTTGCAGCTTGATGATGCAATAGAAAAGAAAAACCCATTTTCTGGGAAAAAATTTAAATCAGCTGCAGAAATTTGCATAAGTAATGAGGAACCAAATGTTAATCACAAAGACAATAAAGAAAATGTCTCTAGGGCATGTCAGAGGTTTTCAAGGCAGGCCTTCTCATCACAGGCCCAGAGGCCTAGAAGAAAAAAAATGGTTTCATGAGCTGGGCCCAGGGCCTTGATGCTTTGTGCAGTCTTGGAACTTGGTGCCCTGTCTTCCAGCCATTGCTAAAAGTGGCCAACATACAGCTCAAGCCATTGTTTTAGAGAGTGCAAGCCCCAAGCTTTGGTGGTTTCCACATTGTGTTGGGCCTGTGGGTGCACAAAAGTCAGTAATTTAAGTTTGGGGAACCTCTGTCTAGATCAGAGGCTGTATGGATATGCTTGGATGTCCAAACAGAGGTCTGCTGCAGGAACAGGGCCCTCATGGAGAACCTCTGCTAAGGCAGTGCAGAAGGAAAATGTGGGTTGGAGCCCCCACACAGAGTCCCCAGTGGGGCACTTACTAGTGGGGCTGTGAAGAGGGCCATTATCCTTCAGACCCCAGAATGGGTTGCAGGCATCGATAGCTTGCACTGTGGAGTTGTAAAAGCCATTGACACTCAATGCTAACACATGAAAGCAGCCATGGGTGTTTCACCCTGCAGAGTCACGGGGATGGAGGTGCCCAAGACCATGGGACTCCACCTCTTGCCTCAGTGTGACCTGGATATATGAGACATGAAATCAAAGGAGATTATTTTGGAGATTTAAGATTTAATGACTTCCCTGCTGGATTTTGGACTTGCATAGAGCCTGTACCCCTTTATCCTGGCCAAGTTCTCCCATTTAAAACAGGTGTATTTACCCAATGCCTGTACCCACATTGTATCTTGGATGGAACTAATTTGTTTTTTATTTTACAGGCTCATAGGTGAAAGAGACTTTTCTTGTCTCAGATGAGACTTTGGACTGTGGACTTTTGAGTTAATGCTGAAATTAGTTAAGACTTTGGGGGACTGTTGGGAAGGCATAATTGGTTTTTGAAATGTGAGAATGTGAGATTTGGGAGGGGCCAGGAGTGAAATGATATGGTTTGGCTCCGTGTGCCCACCTAAATCTCATCTTCAGTTGTAATCCCCATAGTCCCCATGTGCTGAGGCAGGGACCAGATAGGAGGTGACTGAATCATGGAAGCATTTTACTCCATGTTGTTTGAGTGATAGTGAGTGAGCTCTCACAAAATCTGATGGTTTTATAAAGCAGTTTTCTCTGCTCTTGCTTGCTTTCTCATACCTGCCACCATTCCCACTGATAAATCTCATTGTGTTTCGCTGAGAACTCCCCAAGCAGCCTCTGTCAAGGCTGAGACCTCTGCCCACGATTGGGCATTGCATTTACCCACCTTCTTTAGGCACGACCAGTTTTTACCCATGGACATCTCCCCTACTAGCCTGAAGCATGAATTATTCAATCCAGTAAATAAAATAATGTGAAAGGATAAAAAATAAATAAATAAGTGCACACCATTGGGGAATGAGACAAGCTTGATAAGACCTCTGCTATTCTAACCCTACAGGAGGTAGTAAAGTTGCTCACACATTGAACACATCACTACTACAACCACCATCTAAGAAAGCCATCATAGAAGACTCCCTATAACCCAGAAACCTATACAGCATCTGAAAGCAGTGAAAGCCAAATATGCTACAATAAACCATAAACATTAAAGTCACAACCTTAAGGGAAAAAAAATCTAAAAAACCTAGTCAAATCAAATACAAATATAAGAATAATTAGAAAAAAGTGTGGAGCAAGATGGCAGAATAGAAGGCACTATCAATTGTTTCCCCAACAATGACACCTATTTAACAACTATCTACACAAAAAAGCACGTTTGTAAGACGCAAAAATCATGTGAGTACTCACAGTACTTGATTTTATCTTTATATTCCTGAAAAAGAGACTGAAGAGGTGGGAAAAACAGTCTTGAATCACTGACGCCACTTCTCATCCCCCAGCAGTAGCAGCATGGTGCAGAGAACATTTCTGTGTGCTGGGGGAGGAAGAGCCAGCAATTGTGTGGCAATGAACTCGGTGATGCCCTTGTTATAACAGAAAGGAAAAACCAGACAAAACTCACCTGACACCTGTCTAAGGAGAGAGCATTTGAACTAGACCTAGCCAGATGGGAATTGCCTATCTCGATGGTCAGAACTTGAGTTCCCACAACCCTCACCACTGAGGGATAAAGTGCTCTGAAGCCCTAATAAACTTGAAAGGCAGTCTAGGCCACAAGGACTGCAACACTCACATAAGTCGTAGTGCTGAACTGGTCCTAGAGACAATGGACTGAGGGGCGTGCAATCTAATGAGACATCAGCCGGGGCAGCTCAGAAAGTGCTGGTATTACCCGTCTCCTAACACCAGGCTGCAGAGCGGGTGGCTCCAAAAGTGAACCCTTCCCTCTGCGTGAGGAGAGGAAATGGAAGAGTGGGGAAAACTTTGTCTTGCATCTTGGATATCAGCTTCAACACAGCAGGATAGGGCATCAATCAGTGTCATGAAGTCCACTTTCCAGGACCTAGCTTCCAGATGACATTTCTAGACACACTCGATGGAAGGAGAAGTTGCTGCCTTAAAGGGAAGGACCGAGTCCTGGTAAGATTTATCATCTGCTAACTGAGGAGCCATTTGGAACTGAATAATCACCAGTGACATGCAGGAAATAGATTAAGGGACTTGGGCAAGACTCTGAGACTTGCTGGCTTCAGGTGATACCCAGCACACTCCCAGCTGTAGTGGTTATGGGGTAAGACTCCTTCTGCCTGAGAAAAGGAAAGGAAAAAGTAAAGCGTACTTTGTCTTTCACCTTAGGTACCAGTGCAGTCACAAAAGTGTAGAGCACCAATGAGGCTCTTTTGTTCCTTTATTCCAGGATTGGGCTCTTGAATGGCATTTCTGGATCTGCCCTGGGCCAAAGAAGATCGCAGCGCTCTGAAGAGTGAGTCCCTCTTCAGGCAGCATTCAACACAATCTGACTAAAGAGCCTTTAGGCCTTGAGGGGATATCAGTGGTAGTTTGGCACTATTCCCCATGGGACTGAGTTGGTGGTGGCCACCTGGTGAGGCTCCTCTGCTTTTAGAAATGGTAGAAAAAGTGGAAAGTACTATGTCTTGTGGTTTGAGTGTCAACCCTACTAAAGTATAATAAAACATCAGGTAGATTTATAGTTTTTTACTCTAGTTATTGGCTATTGGATGGCATCTCTGGACCCCTGCAGAGCCAGCGGGAGCTTACCACTCTGAAAGGAGAAACAGGACCAGCTGGCTTTGCCATCTACTGATTGTACTGCACCAGGGCTTTGAGCAAACATAGGCAGTAACCAGGGAGTTTTGACAGACCTTGGGCAAGACCTAGTGCTGTGCTGGCTTTGGGTCTCACCCAGTGTAGTCCTAAAGGTCGTGGTCACAGTGGTGCTTGTGTCACTCTACACTCAGTTCCAGGTGATTCAAACTAGAGAGAGAGATACTTCATTTGTTTGGGAGAAACTAAGAAGAAAGGACAAGAGTCTCTGCTTTTTAATCCAGATAATTCTCAGAGATCTTATCGAAGACCATCAAGGCAGTACCTCTAGGCAACTTCAAGAACCACAGCATTTACAGGGCTTGGTATCCACCCTAAAGCAGATACAGCTTAGATCACAATACCCAAGTTGTCTTGAATATATGAAAAGCCTTCCCAAGAAGGATGGCTACAAACAAGCCCAGCCTATGGAGACTACAATAAATACACCAATGAACATCTACAAGTATCAAAACCATCAAGGAAAACATGACCTCACCAAATGAACTAAACAAGACACCAGGGACCAATCCTGTAGAAACAGAGGTATGTGAATATATGACCTTTCAGACAAAGAGTTCAAGATATCTGTTTTCAGGAAATCCCCCAAAATTCAAGATAACACAGAGAAGGAATTTGGAATTCTAGGATATATATTTAATAAAGATACTGAAATAATCAAAAGAATCAAACAGAAATTCTGAAGTTGAAAAATGCAATTGGCATACTGAAGAATGCACCAAACTCTTTTGATAGCAGAATTAAGCAGAAGAATGATTTAGTGAGCATGAAGACATGTTACTTAAAAATACAGGCAAAAGAAAAAAATATATAAGAAAATGAAGCATGACAACAAGATCTAGAAAACAGCTTCAAAAGGGAAAACTTTAGAGTTATTGTCTGGAAAAAGGAAGTATAGAAAGAGATAGGGAAGAACATGTATTCAAAGGGATAGTAACAGAGAATGTCCCAAACAAAGAGAAAGATATCAATATCCAAGTACAAGAAGTTTATAGAACACCAAGCAGATTTAACTGAAAGACTACCTCAAGGCATTTAATAATCAAATTCCCAATGAAGAATGGATCCCAAAAACAGCAAGAAAAAAGAAGCAAATAAAATAAAATGGAGCTTCAATACATCTGGCAGCAGACTTTCCAGTGGAAACCTTACAGGCCAAAGGAGAGTAGTATGACATATTTAAAGTGCTAAAGGAATAAAACTTTTAACCTAGAATAGTATATTCAATGAAAACAACCTTCAAGCATAAAGGATAAATACTTTCCCAAACAAAAGTTGAGAAATTTCATCAACACCAGACCTGTCCTAACGGAAATGTTAAAGGGAATACCTCAATCAGAAAGAAAAGGACATTAATGAGCAATAAGATATCATCTGAAAGTTCAATTCACTGGTAATAGTACATACACAGAAAAATATTGTAACTGTGGTGTGTAAATTACTCTTACTTTAAATAGAATGACTAAATAATCAAGGAATAATAATAACTAAAATAACTTTTAAAGACAGACAGTACAATAAGATATAAATAGAAACAACAAAATGTTAAAAAGCAGCAAGATAAAGTTAATGCATAGAGTTTTCATTAGTTTTTGTGTGTTCGTTTGTTTATGCAAACAGTGTTACATTGCTACCAGTTTAAATAAAATGGATTATAATATACTATTTGCAAACTTCATGGTAAACTGAAACCAAAAATCATACACAAAAATGTAAAAATCAAGACACTAAATCATATAACCAGAGAGAAATACCTTTACTAAAAGAAAGATGGGAAAAAAAGAATGAAGGAAGAGAAGACAACAAAACAACCAGAAAACAAGTACTAAAATGACAGAAGTAAGTTCTTACTCATCAATATTAACATTTAATGTGAATAGACCAGCCTCTCCAATCATAGACTAACCTCTCCCATCAAAAGACATAAGATTGCTAAATGGAAAAAAAAAGACCCATACATGTGGGTCTTTAAAGATTCACATAGACTGAAAACAAAGGGATAAAAACAGATATTCCATGCCAATGGAAACAGGAGAAGAGAAGGAGTAGTTATACTTTTATCAGACAAAATATATTTTATGACAAAAACTATAACAAGAGACGAATAAGGTCACTATATGATGATAAAGGGTACATTGTGCAAAAGGATATAACAACTTTAAATATATATGCACCCAACACCGAAGCACCAAGAGATATAAAGAAACTGTTGTTAGATTTAAAGAGAGACATAAACTCCAATGCAATAATAGCTGCAGACAATAACACTCCACTTTAAGCATTAGACAAATCTTTCAGACAGAAAATCAACAAAGAAACATGAAACTTAATCTGTGCTGCAGATCAAATGGATCTAATAGATATTTACAAAACATTTCATCCAATGGCTGCAGGACACACATTCTTTTCCTCAGCACATGAATTGTCCTCAAGCATAGACCATATGTTAGGTCACAAAATAAGACTTCAAACATTCAAAAAACTTAAAATATTATCATACCTCTTCTCTGACTACAATGGAATAAAACTAGAAATTAATAACAAGAAGAATTCTCAAAACTATACAAATACATGGAAATTAAGCAATATGCTCCTTAAATGACCAGAGGATCAATGAACAGATTAAGAAGGACATGGAAAAATTTCTAGAAACAAATGACAATGAACATATAACATACCAAAACATATGGGATGCAGCTAAAGCAGTACTAAGAGGGAATCTTATAGCTATAAGTACCTATATCAAAAAAGAGGGTAAGCTTTGATTAAACAACCTAACAACGCATCTTAAAGAACTAAAAAAGCAAGAGCAAACCAAACCCAAAATAGTGAAGAGAAAAAATAATAAAGATCACAGCAGAAATAAATGAAATTGAAATAAAGAAAAAAGATGAATAAAAATGTTGTTTTTAATTGAAGAGTTAAACAAAACTGATGAACTTTTACCCAGACTAAAAAAAAGAGAGAAGACCCAAATAAATCAAATCACAGATTAAAAAACATTACAACTGAAATCACAGAAATTCAAAGGATTATTGATGTACGCTATGAGCAATGATATGCCAATAAATAGGAAGATTTAGAAGAAATGTACATATTACTAGATACACGCAAGCTTCCAAGATCGAACTATGAAGAAATTTAAAACCTGACTAGACCAATAACAGGTAACAAGATTGAAGCTGTAATAAAAACTCTCAAAAATAAAAAATAAAAAAATCCCGGGACCTGATGGTGTCACTGCTGAATTCCACAAATACTTAAAGAAGAACTAGTACTAATCCTATACAAACCATTCCAAAAAAATAGATGAAGAGAGAATACTTCTAAACTCATTCTATGAGGCCACTATTACCCAGTTACCAAAACCGGAAAGAGACACATCCAAAAAAGAGAAAACAACAGGCCAATATTTCTGATGAATATTAACAGAAAAATCCTCCAAAAAATACCAGTAAATAGAATTCAACAATACATTCAAAAGATTATTCATCAGGACAGGCTGGGCACGGTGGCTCACACCTGTAATCCCTGCACTTTCGGTGGCTGAGGTGGGTGGATCATGAGGTCAGCAGTTTGAGACTAGCCTGGCCAACATAGTGAAACCCCATCTCTACCAAAAAAAGTACAAAAATTAGCTGGGCGTGGTGGCACGTGCCTGTAGTCCCAGCAACTTGGGAGGCTGAGGTGGGGGCGAATCACTTGAACCCGGGAGGGGGAGGTTGCAGTGAGCCAAGACCACGCCATCTGCACTCCAGCCTGGGTGACAGAGTGAGACTCCATTTCAAAAAAAAAAAAAAAAAGAAAAAAGAAAAAATTCATTATGACAGAGTAGGATCTGTCCCTGGATGCAAGATGATTCAATATATGCAAATCAATATATAATACATCATCTAAACAAATGAAGGACAAAAACTATACGATCATTTCAATTAATGTTGAAAAGGCATTTGACAAAAGTCAATATTTCTTGATAATAAAAACCACAAAAAGCTGGGTATAGAAGTGACATACCTCAAAATAATAAAAGCTGTATATGACAGACCCACAGCTTGTATCACACTGGATGGGAGGGGAAGCTGAAACCGTTCCTCTAATATCTTGAGTATGACAAGGGTGCCCAGTTTCACCACTGTTATTCAACTTAATACTGGAAGTCCCAGGTAGATCAATCAGAAAACAGAAATAAATAAAGGACATTGAAATTGAAAAGAAAGAAGTAAAATTATTTTTGTTTACAGATGATATAATTTTATATTTTGGAAAACTTAAAAGACTCCACAAAAATTATTGGAAGTGCCAAATACTTTCAGTAAAATTGTAAGATACAATATCAACATTCAAAAATCAGTAGCATTTCCATATGACAACAGTGAACAATTTGAAGAAGAAATAAAAAATTAATTTTATGTACAATAGCAATAAATAAGATCAAATACCTAGAAATCAACTTAGCCAAAGAAGTGAAAGATCTCTAAAATGAAAACTATGAAACACTGTTGAAAGTATTTGAAGAGGAAACATAAAAGGAAAGATATTCCATGTTCAAGGATTGTAAGAATCAATATTGTTAAAATGTCTATACTACCCAGAGCAAGCTACAAATTCAAAGCAATTTCTATTAAAATACCAGTGATATTCTTCACAGAAATAGAAAACACTACCCTAAAATTTACGTGGAAGAACAAAAGACCTAGAACAGCCAAAGCTCTCCTAAGCAAATTGAACAAAACTGGAGGAATCACATTACCTGACTTCACATGATACTACAGAGCTATAGTAAGCAAAACAGCATGGTACTGGCATAAAAAGAGAAACATAGAACCATAGAACAGAATAGAGAACCCAAAAGCAAATCCACACCCCTACAGTGAACTCACTTTTGACAAAGGTGCCAAGAAAATACACTCGGGGAAAGAGAGCCTCTTCAATAAATGGTACTGGACAAACTGGATATTTATGTGCACAAGAATGAAACTGGACTCCTATCTCACACTATATACAAAAATTAAATCAAATTGAATTAAAGCATTAAACCTAATATTGAAAACTATGAAACTACTACAAAAACTTTTCTGAAAAGTCTCCAAAACATTAGTCTGGACAAAGATTTTTTGAGTAATACCCTACAAGCTTAGGCAACAAAAGCAGCAATGGAAAAATAAGATCCCATCAATTTAAAAAACTTCTGCACAGCCAAGCAAAGAATCAACAAAGTGAAGAGACAACCCACACAATAGAAGATAAAATATTCTCAACCTAACCATATGACAATAAATTAATATCTAGAATATATAAGAAGCTCAAACAACTTTATATGAATTAATCTAATAATCTGGTTTAAAAATTTCCAGAACATTTGAATTGACATTTCTTAAAAGAAGACATACAAAGGGCAAACAAACATATGAAATGGTGCATAACATCATCAATCAGCAGATAAATTCAAATCAAAGCTACAATGAGATATTATTTCACCCCAGTTACAATGGCTTATATCCAAAAGATAGGCAATAACAAATGCTGTCAAAGATGTGGAGAATAGGTAACCCTTGTACACTGTAGAAATGTACATTAGTGCAACCTCTATGGAGAACACTTTAGAAGGTCCTCCAAAAACTAAAAATAGAGCTACAATAAGATCCAGCAATCCAACTGCTGAGGATACTTCCAAAAGAAGGAAAATTAGTATATGGAAGAGATATCTGCACTTCCATGTTTGTTGCAGCTCTGTTCACAAGAGCCAGGATTTGGAAGCAACCTAAGTGTCCATGAACAGATGAATGGATAAAGAAAATGTGGCACTTACACACAATAAAGTACTATTCAGCTATAAAAAAGAATGAAATTCAGTCATTCACAACAACATAGAGGGAACTGGAGATTATTATGTTTAGTGAAATAAGCAACATAAATAAATTATAAAACAGTTCAGGATATGAACGAAAAATTTATGAGGAGATTGGTATTTTAAAGAAAAGCCAGTCAGAACTTCTGGAGATGAAAGACCTATTCTGGGCATTACACAATGCAGTCTCAAGTTTTAACAATAGACAAGACCAAGGTAAAAAAAGAATTTCAGATCTTGAAGAGAAGGTTTCCAAACTAACCCTATCAGACAAAAACAAACAAATAAGAATCAAAAGAAATGAACAAAATTTCAAAGACATATAGGATTACGTAAAATAGCCAAACCTGAGAATCATTAGTGTTTTTGAAGGAGAAGAGAAAGAAAAAAAAATTGAATACCTTATTTAAGGCAATAATTGAGGAAAACTTCCCTGGATTTGCTAAAGGTTTAGATATCCAAATACAAGGGATTCAAAGAACTCCTGGGAGATTCATTGCAAAAAGGACATCAACAAGGCATATAGTAACCAGGATGGACTCAAAGAACTCCGGGGAGATTCATTGCAAAAAGGACATCAACAAGGCATATAGTAACCAGGATATCTAAAACCAACGTGAAGGACTGAATTCTAAGAGCAGTGAGACAAAAGCATCAGGTAACCTACAGATAAAAACCTATCAGACAAACACAGACTTCTCAGCAGAAACCTTAGAAGCCAGAGGTTATCGGCATTCTATCTTTAGCCTCTTTAAACACAAATAGCTACCAGTCAAAAATTTTGTATCTAGATAAACTAAGTTTCATCAATGAAGAAGAAAAAAGTCATTTCCAGACAAGCAAATCCTGAGAGAATTTGTCAATACCAGAACAATCCTTCAATAAATGTTGAAAGGACTTCTAAATTTTGAAACAAAATGTTGATATACATAGAAACTCTTGAATACACAAAGCTCACAGAGCCTATAAATCAGTAACACAATGAGGAAAATAAAGCATCTAGGTAATAGTTAATATGATAACTGTAATAGTACCTCACATCTCAAGAAACAGATTGTCAGAGTGGATAAAAATATCCCAAAATAAGTACCTGTTGTCTCCATGAGATTCATTTAACATGTAAGATTCTTATAGAGTCAAAGTGAAGGAACAGAAAATGATATTCCAGGCAAATGGAAACCAAAAGTGAGAAAGAGTAGCCATTCTTATATCAGATAAAACAGACTTTAAAGCAACAACAATAAAAAAAGACAAAGAAGGTTATTATATAATAATAAGATGAGCAATTTAACATAAAGATATTACAATCTTAAATATATATTCACCTAATTCTGGAGTTTCCAGATTTAAAAAATAATTAGTACTAGATTTAAGAAATGAGACAGACAGCAATGCAATAATAGTGGAGGACTTCAATGCTCCACTGACAGCACTGGACAGATTATTGAGGCAGAAGGTCAGCAAAGAAACAATGGACTTAAACTAAATGGGCCTAACATGTTTACACAACATTCTTCTAAGGAATTGCAGAATATATATTTTTATCGTCAGCACATGCAACATTCTCCAAGACTAATCATATGGTAGGCCACAAAACAAGACTCAATAAATTTAAAACTATCAAAATTATATCAAATATCTCCTCAGACCACAATGGAGTAAAACTAGAAATCAACTTTATAAAAAAAGCTTCTAAATTATGCGAATACATTAAAATTAAAATATATGTTCCTGAATGGTTTTGATGTTAACAATGAAGTCAGGATGGAAATTAAAAGATTCTTTGAAAGGAATGATAATGATAATAGTGACATAAGTTATCTCCTTTGAGATACAGCAATAGCGGTGCTAAGAGGAAATTTTATAGTGCTAAATGCCTATGCCAAAAAGCCCGAAAGATAAAAAATTGACAACTTAATTTCACATCTTATAGAAAGAGAAACATGAACAAACAAAGCTAGCAAAATAAAAGAAATACAAAAATCAGAGCAGAACTAAATAAAATTAAAACAAAAATATGAAAATTAATGAAATGAAAAGTTTGTTCTTGGAAAAGTTAAACACAATTAATAGACCATCAGCTAGATGCAACAAGAAGACAGAAGATTCAAATAATCTCAGTTAGAAATAAAAATAGAGACGTTACAACTGACACCACAGAAATAGAAAAGGTTATTCGAGTCTACTATGAAAACCTCTATGCACACATACTAGGAAATCTAGAAGAAATGAATAAATTCATATAAACATACAACCCTCCTAGAATGCATCAGGAAGAAATATAAATCTTGAATAGACAAACAACAAGTAGCAAGATCAAATCAATAATAATAAAAAAATGCCAACAACAAAAAAAGCCCACAGGCAGATGGATTCACAGCTGAATTGTACCAGATATTTAAAGAAGAATTGGTACAAATCTTACTGAAACCATTCCAAAACATTGAGAAAGATGTATTCTTCCCAAACTAATTCTTTGAAGCCAGTATCACTCTGATACCAAAATCAGGAAAGGATATAATGAAAAAAGAAAACTACAGACCAATACCCTAATGAACATAGAGGCAAAAATTCTCAATAAAATAGTAGCTAACTGAATCCAAAAGCACATCAAAAAAACTAACACACCTTGATCAAGTGGGTTTCATCCCAGAGATGGAGGGGTAGTTTAACATATATAAGTCAATGAAAATGATACTTCACATAACCAGAATTATAAACAAAAAACGTATGATCATCTCAATAGGTGCAGAAAGAGCATTCGATAAAATCCAACATTTTTTATAATAAACACCCTCAACAAAATAGGCGTAAAGGGGGCACACCTCAAAATATTAAAAGCCATATATGACAAACTCACAGCTAACATCATACTGAATGGGGTAAAGTTAAAAGGATTCCCCTTGTGAACTGGAAAAAGACAAGGATGTCCTCTTTCACCATTTCTATTCAGCATAGTACTGGAAGTCCTAGCCAGAGCAATCAGGCAAGAGAAAGAAATAAAGGGCATCCAGATTGGAAAAGAGGGAATCAAGCTACCACTGTTTGCTGATAATTGTATACCTAGAAACCCATAGAAATTCCCCCAAAAGACTCCTAGATTACATAAACGAATTCAGGAAAGTCTCAGAATACAAAATCAATGTACCTAAATCAGTAGTACTACTATACACCAACAATGACCAGGGTGAGAATCAAGTCAATAACTCAATCCTTGTTACAATAGCTGCAAAAAATAAATAAATAATAACCTAGGAATATATGTAACCAAGGAGGTGAAAGATCTCTACAAGGAGAACTGCAAAACTCTGCTGAAAGAAATTATAGATGACACAAACAAATACGAACACATCTCATGCTTGTTAATTGAAATAATCAATATCATGAAAATGACTATACTAAACAAAGCAATTTATAGATTCAATACACTTCCTATTAAAACACTGACATCATTTTTCACAGAATTAGAAAAAAAAATTCCCCAAATTCTAATGGAACCAAAAAAGGGCGTGAATAATGAAACCAATCTTAAGCAAAAAAACAAATTTGGAGGTATCACAAAACCTGATTTCAAATTACACTACAAGGCTACAGTTACAAAGCCAGCATTTTACTGGTATAAAAGGAGATGCATAGACCAATAAAACAGAACAGAGAACCCATAAATAAACCCAAACACTCACTACCAACTGTTCTTAGATACAGCATAGAAAAACATAAATTGGGGAAATGACACCTTATTATACAAATGGTGCTGGGAAAACTGGATAGCCACATGTAGAAGAATGAAAATGGATCATTATCTCTCACCTTATAAAATAATTACCTCAAGATTGATTAAATACTTAAATATAAGAGGTGAAACTATATAAATTCTAGAAGACAACTTTGGAAAAATTCTTTTAGACATCAGCCTAGGCATAGAATTTATGATGAAGACCCCAAAAGCAAATGCAACAAAAAACAAAAATGAATGAATGGTACCTAATTTAACTAAAAAGCTTGTGCATAACAAAAGAAAAATCATCAGAGTAAACAGACAACTCAAATAATGGGATAAAATATTTGCAAACTATGCATCTGACAAAGGACTAATATCCGGAATCTACAAAAGACTCAGAAAAAAAATCACATGAGGAGGTTGGCAAATGATATGAATAGACATTTCTCAAAAAAAGATATATAAATGGGTAATGAATATATTAAAAAATTGCTCAACATCACTAATCATCAGGGAAATGCAAATTAAAACCACAATGAGATACCGCCTTACCCTAGCCAGAATGGCCACTATTAAAAAGTCAAAAAACAATAGATGTTGGAGTGGACGTGGTGAAAAGAGAATGCTTATAAACTGCTTGTGGGAATGTAAATTAGTACAACCTCTATGGAAAACAGTATGGAGAGTTCTTAAAGAACTAAAAGTTGATCTACCATTCAATCCAGCAATCTCACTACCGGATCTCTACCCAAAGGAATAGAAGTCATTATAGCAAAAAGACACCTGCATGCATATGTTTATTGCAACAAAATTCACAATTGCAGATATATAACCAACATAAGTTCCCATTGACCGATAAGTAGATAAAGAAAATATTATATATATGCACACACACACACACCATGGAATACTATTTAGCCATTAAAAGGAATGAAATAATATCTTTTGCAGTAACTTGGATGGAACTGAAGGCCATTGTCCTTAGTGAGGTAATCAGGAATGGAAAACCAAATACTTTATGTTCTCTCTTATAAGTGGGAGCTAAGCTGTGCATACACAAAGACATAGAGTGGTATAATGAACTTCGGAGACTCAGGTGTGGGGAGGAAGGAGAGGGTGAGGGATGAAAACCTCATATTGGATACAATGTACACTACTCAGATGATGGGTGCAGTAAAATCTCAGACTTTATCACCATACAATTCATTCATGTAACCAAAAACCACTTGTACCCCATAAGGTATTGAAATAAAAAAAATCAAAAATTTAAAAAGAAAGGAAATAATGAAGATAAAGACAGTATGCTGAGAAAAAAATGTAATAGAAAGTTTCCACAGAACTAACATGGCAGATTATCTTATTAGACACATGTAGGACACCCTACTTTATCCCACAGTAACCCGTTACAATCAAGTGCTCTGTGCACAAACATTTTTATTGTATATAACCTAAATTGCTCATAGAAGTTGTGTTCATTTATTTTTCTTTGGTCTTAACGGAGAATTTAACACTCGAAATATGCGGCCACTAAAGAAATTGCTGTTTTCCTTGTTACTTTAATCATTCATATTATTGATTTATAAGCCAACAAAGCTATTTCCTTGCTAAAGGCATCAAATATGCTTCCTTTATGCAAAGTGACGCAGATAGTGTATCCCATTGTTATTATAGGAAGAAAAATCGACTCCAAATATTTCTAACATTTTTTATTATTACTATAGATGAGCCTTCCTGATTGTTATTTACATCCTCTAATGTAATGATACCTACTATCAAAATTTTGGGCTAAATTGCATTTGGTTTGCAATGCTTAATGGTGTTAACGTCAGTTCTGAGGTTAAAAACCACATGCTGTAAATGAAAACTTTTTTTTCAAAAACAGAATAAAGCTTAAAAAGAAAGCTTCAATTGCAAAGACACTTTCATTGACAAAGAATGCTAATTATTCTACCAGAAATATAGGTAGAATAATACTTATTTTGTGGTTTCAGACTTCAGCACCACAACCTCATAGTTACATATGATATATGATACATGATGATCAAGAACGTAACATTTTCTGTTAAAAAATGTATTCATTACCAGCACACTTATACAGAACACTGGTATCTATTTTATGTTTTCTATGTTTTAGCAGTGTGCGCTGTATCTTGTATCAAATGAGGTAATCTCAAAGTGCCTCTAACAGAAATATCACATCATGTGAACCACATAAAATGGTAATACAATTGCACTGACTAGGTTAGTTAAAAAATGGTTTTAAAACATCCTGTCAAAAATCCTGTATAAAAAATTACAAATTACAAAAAATATAAATAAGATTAAAATTACAAATAACATAATATAAAATTACAAATAATTTAATATTGTAAATAATATAAATAAATTTAAATGAGTTGGACTTTAATTTTCCCAACCCTTAAATTAAGTATCTTGTTTCCAAGATGTATAAATACGGAAAGGGGAGGAGAAGTAACTTTCCATTGGAGAAACCTGGCATGCACTATCTCAGGCAGGTGATTAAGATCAACAAAAAGAGTGGTAAGTTATACTGGTAATATGTACCCTTGATAAAATGTGATGAAAGTGGCACTTTACCTCTGTGGTCTTCCTTCCCACAACCCATAACTTCAGTCTAACCACGAGGAAAAAAAAAATGTATATATATGAGACAAACTGAAACTGAGGAATGTTCTACAAAATACCTAAGCGGGTATTTTCAAAATTGTAAAAATTATTACAAACAAGCCTAAGAATCTGTCATAGCACAGAGGTGCCTAAGGAGATTTGAGAAATAAATGTAACATAATATTCTGGATAAGGTGCTAGAACAGAAAATGAATATTAAGAAAAAACTGAGAAAATCTGAAGAAAGTTTGTATTTTAGTTAATAAAAACATCATTTTTTATTAACTGACATTTTTAGTAATAAAAAGGTTCATATTGGCTCATTAAGTGTGACAAACCAACATAATTTAACATGCTAACAATAGAGGGAGCTTGTTGTGGGGTATCTGGGAATTCTCTGTGCTGTCTTCACAACTTTTTTGTAAAATGTAAGCTATTTTAAAGTTAAAACGAATGTTTGATATTTTAAAAACACCCTGTCGTCTTTGATATCTGAGAAGGATCTATTACTTCTTAGAAACTATAACAATGTCTTGTTCTTTGTTTCACAGACAGCATAAAAATGTAGGCCAATTTATAACAAGGTGCTAGAACAAAATTAATTGGGACTCAGAATACATTAAACAGTCAGGTATATAAGTTAAAATTGAGCAGAAGCAGGAAGTCTAACCTCAAGGTTAAATGTTTAGAGAGACAGTAACATAAACACAGAAATGGTGAAGTGGATTGGGCTGGAGCATTGAAATATCAAAAAGTAGAATGAATAACTAGGATGGTGAATGCTTGGCAGAGTAATCTGTTTTGAAAGTTGGTTGGTGTTCCCAGCCTTAGCAATGAAGTATCCTAATACTCCATACCAATATTCTCTAAGATCATGTAAGTCCAAATAGCTAAGGGCAAATCCATATATTCAAGTCATTTTGTGGAAGAACAGGTTGAATTTATTTTTGAGGAAGAACCCTAAGATAGGGTAAGGCCAGATGAGAATAACAAGGAATCAAATATGGTAACAGACTAAACTGATTGGTCTGGCGTCTTGAGACAAAACAACATAAACGAAAAACCAGGAAACTACATTTGGCCCACAATCTGGCTGTTTTACTTCCCAAAATAATAATCATAGTTTTTCATTGTATTCAACAGTATTGTCAATTAAGTATACATACTGTGTATATACTGCATAGTTTATATATAAATGCACTTATATATAGAAACCCAATAACTTTCTCATATATGTATATATATGTATGCATGTGTGTGTATATATATGCACACACACACATATATCACATACACACACACACACACACACACACGTAGATATAAAAAATGAATAGAGAGAGAACTTCCAAAATGGTAGAATAAGGAGCCATGAAAATCTGCTTCACCATAAGAGCACTGAGGGCACTGGGGAAAAGTTGTCAATATAAACTTTTTTAGAATGATTTAAATTAACCAAGGATGTACAAAAATATAAGAAATATTTATTCGAAAATGGCTAAATCTTGATAAGAAGAGAGTGCTTTGCAGCATTTTGAGGTACTCTTGTCTCATCTGCCCCTCCCCAGCTCCAGGGTAGAGTTGAGTATCAACAGGCCTATTATCAAAATAACCATAAAAACATGCAGCCTAATGGCCACTGGAGGGGGCTAATTGGGTCTAATGTGTCCCCAAAGCCTCATACCTAAATTTTTATGAATTGACCTTTCTGTCAGTGTTCTGGAATCCCACACTTGTAGAGCCTGTCTTTACATTACCCAAATCAAAGCTTGCTCACTAGTAACAGTCTTTTTCCTTGTGTCGTTAGTCAAAAAAAAAAAAAAGGCACCAATAATTTAACATTGAAAACACAGGTGGCAATAACAATTTGGGCAAACGAGTATCTGATGAAAAATCTTTAACGGGAAGGCTGATCAGATACCCACTGAGGGCTTAGAGAAGATCTGGCATATTACTGAAAAGCTGGTATGCCATGCATATGCTCAGGGTTGTGCTCATGCCCAGGAAAGATCTGAGAAGGTCCTAATCTCTCCCCTCTCATGGACCTTATGGTTCTGCGCGAGCAGAAAGTAATGCAAATGCATTTTGCCGAGGATTATAAAATGGCGTCAACTTAATAAAAGCCTAGGCAGCTCTGAAGTTTGTAAGAAAAAAGTCACATTCTTCTCAAGTTACTGGCTTTTTTGTGTTGCGTAACCTGATTCAAATTTTTGTTCTTTCTCATATTCTTCATAGATTAATGTCTGGTTGTTGTGTACATGTGCGTATATGTCGGATGAATATAAAAGTATCATTTATTATTAGTCAATAACCATAAGCAACTACTTTAATTAATTTTCACTGCTTATAAAATGTCGCATTGATTATTGGCTATATGTGTCCCATGGGTCTTTGCTGAATCCGTTAAAATAATCTGTGACTACACAGGGGAAAATTATGGTAATTGGAAGAACTATTATATGTGTTTTATGTTTTACATGATAGCTATTATTTATCAAGCACTTCTTATATTCCAAGCACAATTCTAAGTACTTTACATGCACAATATCTTTAAATGTTCAAATGTAGAGACTTCTTTAATTTTCCAGGTAATACTTGCTAAAAGGGCAACACCTTAAGAGACAGCCAGTGGAGTCAATGAGAGCTGAGCAGTTTGAAAGGGTCAGTGCAGATAATATCCTGTGGCGGGGAATTAGCTGAGGCAGTGAGAGAATAGGTGAATGAGGCAGGAAAGGAGTGGTTATATATATATATATATCTGCTTCCAGAGTTATTGCATATATATATATATATATATATATATATATATATATATATATATGCATAGCTTTTTAGTTAAAAGTAGCAGAAATACATGAGCTCTAACTTAAGCATAAGGAGAAATTAATTATACTTCATCTTGTGGAATCAAGTAATAGGCGTATAACTTGGCCTCAGGAACATTCTGAAACCAGGAACAGATGTTCTCTCTACTCATTTACTTTATTCCTTTCTCTTGTCGGATTAGATTTTTTCTGATTTTTAGTCACTATTGGTGGTCATGATGAATGTAGATAGTCATTCTTTATGTGTAGAGGAATATGATTTTTATTTACCTAAAATTGAGTAAAATTTCAAGTATGAATTAGAATATGCTGTGATACAAGATGTGTAGAATTGTTTCTGTCCATTACTTCCAGCCCCATCTTTGCCCCATCGCATTGAAATCATAAAACCACACCAGCATTACTTCTTCTGTTAACAACCACATTTACAATAATCAGAGTAAACAGAGTCGTTTTCAGAGAATGTATTAGTGAAAATTTTGAACTTAAACAGTCTGAGGAGAAAAAAATGGTAATACTGATGGCTTTGATCCTGTGTAATCACGATAGAATCAGGGGTCACATCCAGAGGCATTTTGTGCCCATACCACAGTCACTCTTAAGAAGAAAAAACAGAGCTCCTATTGTTGCCACCTAATTCTCAGTTTTGTGTGCTTTTCAAACACATAAGAGACAAATATTTTATAAGTTCACTGTCATTCTGTGAAAAACAAAGAGGAAAGGGAAATGACAGATGCTTATTTTCTTGATTCTGGCCTTTTCAAAGTTTAATGGCAGGGACACATTCATCTGACAATTAACTGTAGTCCAATTTATTTTATATGATATTTTTCGATTTTTTGAGGTGCATATGCACAATGTAAAATTTATTATTTGAATCATTTTGAAATGTATAATGTAATGATATTAATCACATTCACATTGTGCAACCATTACCACCAGAATTTTTTTTATCTTCTAATACTAAAGCTCTGTACCCTTTAAACAGTAACTCTTTTCTCTCTCCTCCCGGAAGCTCCTGGCAACTACCATTCAACTGTCTGTCTCTATGAATTTGGTCACTCTATGCACCTCATGAATGTGGAAACATACAGTATTTGTTTTTTTTGTTGTTGCTGTGACTGGCTTATTTCATTTAGCAGAAAGTCTTCAAGGTTCATCTGTTTTAGTATGTGTCAGAATGTCATTCCTCTTTAATGCTGGATTTCTGTATGGTTCTTTTTCATAATTTCTATTTGTTGATATTCGTATTTTGTTCTTATATTGTTTTCCTAACTTCTGTTAGTTCGTTGTATTTTCCCTTAGCTCTTTGCACACATTTAAATTGGGTATTCTAACATTCTGTCTGGTAAGTTTGGTACACATGGACATAAATATGGGAAAAATAGATACTGAGGAGAACTAGAGGGGAGAGAGAGAGAGAGGGGATCGAGGGATCAAAACCTCTCCACTGGGTACTATGCTCATTACCTGTAACAAGATAATTCATACTCCAAGCCTCTGTGTCATGCAATATAACCATGTAACAAACCTGCATATGTACCACCTGAATCTAAAACAAAAGTTGAAATTATTTCTTTAGAAAGTCTGATGACTGTGTTTCTCAGTGAGTTTCTGCAGATTTACTTTTTTCTTTTTAATGGGCCATGTTCTTCTGTTTCTTTGAATATATTGTGCTATTTTGATTGAAAATTAGTGGATTACAAAACAACTTCTCCCAATCTTTGCAGACTGGTTGTGAAACTTTTGCTAATTAAGAAGGTGAGTTCTGAGTCTTGGAACCAGCCTACAGTGAAAGCTTAAAGTCTTCTGTGGTCTTTTCTGGGTATGTGTCTTACCTGGGCTCATATGTGTACTATTTTTTGTTCCCCCCATAGAAATTGCTGTCTTTAAGTGTCTTAAATTCCCAAGGAGTCTCATCCCAGCTTTTTCTAGGAACCTTACATACTCTATTGTACTCTTCTACCCATCATCTCTTGCCACAGGGGTCTACAACACTGCTGCAGCTTTTACATTCTTCAGTGTCCACTATTGCCTTCTATTGCTTTCACTGGTTTGAGATCCCAGCTATGCTCCCCTTTTCTTTATGAGCTCCGAGACAGAAATCAGTCTCTCAGGCAGCCCAAAGCCGGGTTAGAATGATGCAAATAATTTTTTCTCTGCTCATTCAGGCCCCTGAGAGGAAACCAGGGATTTGGCAACTTCCACCTGATGGCACCACACTGTACCAAAGGGTGCGTAGGGCAAGTGTGAATAAAAATGTCATCACATTTCCTACCATTGAAATGTAGCTTCTTGATTAGGCATTTGCTTGGTAAGTTTCCTAGTGCACCATTTTGCTGGCATCGCATCCCTATTTACATAATTTTAATCATCACAAAATATAAAGAAAACTCAAAAAATGTGAGCAACAACATGAATATCTTTATCAAAGCATTTGTTATGGAGGAAAACTAAAATACATATATTTGATATATTTATTATGATTTTATTTTTACTTTACAACTACCGATTTACTTAACTTTGAAAAAGTTCTCATCGGTTTATCAAGCTGAAATATCTATGCTATGGGGACAACAGAAAAATCAATATATATCTTTGGTATTTGCCCTTAAATGTGTTTCATACTGCTTTGATGGACCTTTAGAGTTTGAACCTTAAATCATCAAAGTGATACCAAGCCAACATTAACATAAAATTCAGGGAAAGCATTTTAATTGGAAGATATCCTTTACCTTCTGAGCTGGTGATCTCTTTTAGGGGAAACGTGGATATAACTCTTACATTCTGAAAGAGATAAGTTTTAAAAAGTCTCTATATTTAAACCAAAAGAAGAGGTATGTGAAAAGAAACGATTGTATCATGATGTTTGGGGAGAACTTCAAAAGACTCTTCTAGGGTCACTTTTGGACTTAAGCACTTTTGTCTCATTTATTTTGACTTGCACATGCATCTAGCAGTAGAAGAAATTAAAATAATTTGAATCTAAATTGTATTAAATATATATTTGTTTAACATGTTATTCAAATTTTAACCATTTAAAATATGAATGCACAAATGCTTAGAAAAAATGGGCTCAAAATTAATAGCTGTTCCATTTTACTTGCTTCCAGATGTTTGATAATACAAAACTTGTTTAACAATAGTAAAATAATTTAAATATTATGCAATATACCATCAAATGCATTAAAGCAAAGAGTACTTAAAAAGTAAATGAGATCAGAGAGTAAAGCGATAATGTAGCTGAAAAAAATTCATTAACGTGAGTATAGAGAGAAAACCTAGCCTACAAACCAGGTTCCTTGTTTCCTTTTTATTTTTAAAGTAATGTGGCTTATGATGTTAACTTTGAAATGACCCCCCGTGAAAATTGTGATCATAATGATGTTTAATTATTAAGTTTAAATTGATCATCAAATAGTTGATTTTAAGATAATTATGCTTTTGAAAGTAGCATGCCAAAATTTTAATTGCAGCCTGCTACTTGTATAATATTTTTGTAATAGAAAGATATTTGCTACAACCATACAGACATATATTAGTAAAATCATAAATGAGCACATAGAATATAGAGAAGGGAAGGTGAGATTGCTTTTAATCAACTCTGCCTCCAAATTACTACCTACATTTTTCTTTATTGATCAGATAAATACTACACTTGGCTACACTTGTCTTGGGTTATTTAAGTGTCTTCAGATATTTACTCTACAGGTTGTACTTATCTGTAAGGAGCCTGATGGGTTAATGCTGCTTTAACTCTTACTCTATCTCTTAACTCTTACTCTATTTCTCTGCATTCATCAGTGAAACATCATTTTATTAACAGCAAGAAGTCTGACAAAATGAAGCAGCTCTACTACCTTTAGATCTAAACTGTAAGATAAGAAAAATAATTAAAGAACTAAATTCCTTTTGTTCAGGTACATAAGGGAAACTTTCCACCAAAGTGACACAAATAGAGCAAAAGGTTTATGGAAGATTCCTACTATGGCTGAGTGAAATGAACAGAACTTAATAGCTAAAAGAATAATAGCTACCCTTTATTGAAAGGTCACTACGATTGCTCTGCTAGATGTTTTACATAAATTATATAAGCCCAGCTCCTGGCTAAAAAACTGTGTATAATTTTTCAGGCCCAACCATATGCAATTAATTACAGAAGCTTTGCCTGGCAGGCATCATGAGATAAGCTGCCTCCCAACACAAGACTTAGTGTGTGCAGCCAACACATTGAGTCCCTGAAGGCAGTTGCAGTCAAGGACCCAGGCTCCTCTGGGTGGTCATGCTCTTATGACTACCTTCATTTCTATCCCAGGGATCTCCATTAAGAGGTTTCTTCGAAAGAAGGGGGGAGGAGCCAAGATGGCCAAATAGGAACAGCTCCGGTCTACAGCTCCCAGCGTGAGCGACGCAGAAGACTGGTGATTTCTGCATTTCCATCTGAGGTACCGGGTTCATCTCACTAGGGAGTGCCAGACAGTGGGCGCAGGTCAGTGGGTGCGCGCACCGTGCGCGAGCCGAAGCAGGGCGAGGCATTACCTCACTTGGGAAGTGCAAGGGGTCAGGGAGTTCCCTTTCTGAGTCAAAGAAAGGGGTGATGGACGGCACCTTGAAAATCGGGTCACTCCCACCAGAATACTGCGCTTTTCCGACGGGCTTAAAAAACGGTGCACCAAGAGATTATATCCCGCACCTGGCTCGGAGGGTCCTATGCCCACGGAGTCTCGCTGATTGCTAGCACAGCAGTCTGAGATCAAACTGCAAGGCTGCAGCAAGGCTGGGGGAGGGGCGCCCGCCATTGCCCAGGCTTGCTTAGGTAAACAAAGCAGCCAGGAAGCTCGAACTGGGTGGAGCCCACCGCAGCTCAAGGAGGCCTGCCTGCCTCTGTAGGCTCCATCTCTGGGGGCAGGGCACAGACAAACAAAAAGACAGCAGTAACCTCTGCAGACTTAAATGTCCCTGTCTGACAGCTTTGAAGAGAGCAGTGGTTCTCCCAGCACACAGCTGGAGATCTGAGAACGGGCAGACTGCCCCCTCAACTGGGTCCCTGACCCCTGACCCCCGAGCAGCCTAACTGGGAGGCACCCCCCAGCAGGGGCACACTGACACCTCACATGGCAGGGTACTCCAACAGACCTGCAGCTGAGGGTCCTCTCTGTTAGAAGGAAAACTAACAAACAGAAAGGACATCCACACCAAAAACCCATCTGTACATCACCATCATCAAAGACCAAAAGTAGATAAAACCACAAAGATGGGGAAAAAACAGAACAGAAAAACTGGAAACTCTAAAACGCAGAGCGCCTCTCCTCCTCCAAAGGAACGCAGTTCCTCACCAGCAAAGGAACAAAGCTGGATGGAGAATGACTTTGACGAGCTGAGAGAAGAAGGCTTCAGACGATCAAATTACTCTGAGCTACGGGAGGACATTCAAACCAAAGGCAAAGAAGTTAAAAACTTTGAAAAAAATTTAGAAGAATGTATAACTAGAATAACCAATACAGAGAAGTGCTTAAAGGAGCTGATGGAGCTGAAAACCAAGGCTCGAGAACTACGTGAAGAATGCAGAAGCCTCAGGAGCCGAAGCGATCAACTGGAAGAAAGGGTATCAGCGATGGAAGATGAAATGAATGAAATGAAGCGAGAAGGGAAGTCTAGAGAAAAAAGAATAAAAAGAAATGAGCAAAGCCTCCAAGAAATATGGGACTATGTGAAAAGACCAAATCTACGTCTGATTGGTGTACCTGAAAGTGATGGGGAGAATGGAACCAAGTTGGAAAACACTCTGCAGGATATTATCCAGGAGAACTTCCCCAATCTAGCAAGGCAGGCCAACATTCAGATTCAGGAAATACAGAGAACGCCACAAAGATACTCCTCGAGAAGAGCAACTCCAAGACACATAATTGTGAGATTCACCAAAGTTGAAATGAAGGAAAAAATGTTAAGGGCAGCCAGAGAGAAAGGTCGGGTTACCCTCAAAGGGAAGCACATCAGACTAACAGCGGATCTCTTGGCAGAAACCCTACAAGCCAGAAGAGAGTGGGGGCCAATATTCAACATTCTTAAAGAAAAGAATTTTCAACTCAGAATTTCATATCCAGCCAAACTAAGCTTCATAAGTGAAGGAGAAATAAAATACTTTACAGACAAGCAAATGCTGAGAGATTTTGTCACCACCAGGCCTGCCTTACAAGAGCTCCTGAAGGAAGCACTAAACATGGAAAGGAACAACCGGTACCAGCCACTGCAAAATAACGCCAAAATGTAAAGACCATCGAGACTAGGAAGAAACTGCATCAACTAACGAGCAAAATAACCAGCTAACATCATCATGACAGGATCAAATTCACACATAACAATATTAACTTTAAATGTAAATGGACTAAATGCTCCAATTAAAAGACACAGACTGGCAAATTGGATAAAGAGTCAAGACCCATCAGTGTGCTGTATTAGGGAAACCCATCTCACGTGCAGAGACACACATAGGCTCAAAATAAAAGGATGGAGGAAGATCTACCAAGCCAATGGAAAACAAAAAAAGGCAGAGGTTGCAATCCTAGTCTCTGATAAAACAGACTTTAAACCAACAAAGATCAAAAGAGACAAAGAAGGCCATTACATAATGGTAAAGGGATCAATTCAACAAGAAGAGCTAACTATCCTAAATATATATGCACCCAATACAGGAGCACCAAGATTCATAAAGCAAGTCCTGAGTGACCTACAAAGAGACTTAGACTTCCACACATTAATAATGGGAGACTTTAACACCCCACTGTCAACATTAGACAGATCAACGAGACAGAAAGTCAGCAAGGATACCCAGGAATTGAACTCAGCTCTGCACCAAGTGGACCTAATAGACATCTACAGAACTCTCCACCCAAAATCAACAGAATATACATTTTCTTCAGCACCACACCACACCTATTCCAAAATTGACCACATAGTTGGAAGTAAAGCTCTCCTCAGCAAAAGTAAAAGAACAGAAATTATAACAAACTATCTCTCAGACCACAGTGCAATCAAACTAGAACTCAGGATTAAGAATCTCACTCAAAACCGCTCAACTACATGGAAACTGAACAACCTGCTCCTGAATGACTACTGGGTACATAACGAAATGAAGACAGAAATAAAGATGTTCTTTGAAACCAACGAGAACAAAGACACAACATACCAGAATCTCTGGGACGCATTCAAAGCAGTGTGTAGAGGGAAATTTATAGCACTAAATGCCCACAAGAGAAAGCAGGAAAGATCCAAAATTGACACCCTAACATCACAATTAAAAGAACTAGAAAAGCAAGAGCAAACACATTCAAAAGCTAGAAGAAGGCAAGAAATAACTAAAATCAGAGCAGAACTGAAGGAAATAGAGACACAAAAAACCCTTCAAAAAATTAATGAATCCAGGAGCTGGTTTTTTGAAAGGATCAACAAAATTGATAGACCACTAGCAAGACTAATAAAGAAAAAAACAGAGAAGAATCAAATAGATGCAATAAAAAATGATAAAGGGGATATCACCACCAATCCCACAGAAATACAAACTACCATCAGGGAATACTACAAAGACCTCTACGCAAATAAACTAGAAAATCTAGAAGAAATGGATAAATTCCTAGAAACATACACTCTCCCAAGACTAAACCAGGAAGAAGTTGAATCTCTGAATAGACGAATAACAGGAGCTGAAATTGTGGCAATAATCAATAGCTTACCAACCAAAAAGAGTCCAGGACCAGATGGATTCACAGCTGAATTCTACCAGAGGTACAAGGAGGAACTGGTACCATTCCTTCTGAAACTATTCCAATCAATAGAGAAAGAGGGAATCCTCCCTAACTCATTTTATGAGGCCAGCATAATTCTGATAACAAAGCCAGCAGAGACACAACAAAAAAAGAGAATTTTAGACCAATATCCTTGATGAACATTGATGCAAAAATCCTCAATAAAATACTGGCAAAACGAATCCAGCAGCACATCAAAAAGCTTATCCACCATGATCAAGTGGGCTTCATCCCTGGGATGCAAGGCTGGTTCAATATACGCAAATCAATAAATGTAATCCAGTATATAAACAGAGCCAAAGACAAAAACCACATGATTATCTCAATAGATGCAGAAAAAGCCTTTGACAAAATTCAACAACCCTTCAAGCTAAAAAACTCTCAATCAATTAGGTATTGATGGGATGTATTTCAAAATAATAAGAGCTATCTATGACAAAACCCACAGCCAATATCATACTGAATGGGCAAAAACTGGAAGCATTCCTTTTGAAAACTGGCACAAGACAGGGATGCCCTCTCTCACCACTCCTATTCAACATAGTGTTGGAAGTTCTGGCCAGGGCAATTAGGCAGGAGAAGGAAATAAACGGTATTCAATTAGGAAAAGAGGAAGTCAAATTGTCCCTGTTTGCAGATGACATGATTATATATCTAGAAAACCCCATTGTCTCAGCCCAAAATCTCCTTAAGCTGATAAGCAACTTCAGCAAAGTCTCAGGATACAAAATCAATGTACAAAAATCACAAGCATTCTTATACACCAACAACAGACAAACAGAGAGCCAAATCATGAGTGAAGTCCCATTCACAATTGCTTCAAAGAGAATAAAATACCTAGGACTCCAACTTACAAGGGATGTGAAGGACCTCTTCAAGGAGAACTACAAACCACTGCTCAAGGAAATAAAAGAGGATACAAACAAATGGAAGAACATTCCATGCTCATGGGTAGGAAGAATCAATATCGTGAAAATGGCCATACTGCCCAAGGTAATTTACAGATTCAATGCCATCCCCATCAAGCTACCAATGCCTTTCTTCACATAATTGGAAAAAACTACTTTAAAGTTCATATGGAACCAAAAAAGAGCCCACATCGCCAAGTCAATCCTGAGCCAAAAGAACAAAGCTGGAGGCATCACACTACCTGTCTTCAAACTATACTACAAGGCTACAGTAATCAAAACAGCTTGGTACTGGTACCAAAACAGAGATATAGATCAATGGAACAGAACAGAGCCCTCAGAAATAACGCCGCATATCTACAACTATCTGATCTTTGACAAACCTGAGAAAAACAGGCAATGGGGAAAGGATTCCCTATTTAATAAATGGTGCTGGGAAAACTGGCTAGCCATATGTAGAAAGCTGAAACTGGATCCCTTCCTTACACCTTATACAAAAATCAATTCAAGATGGATTAAAGACTTAAACGTTAGACCTAAAACCATAAAAACCCTAGAAGAAAACCTAGGCATTACCATTCAGGACATAGGCATGGGCAAGGACTTCATGTCTAAAACACCAAAAGCAATGGCAACAAAAGACAAAATTGACAAATGGGATCTAATTAAACTAAATAGCTTCTGCGCAGCAAAAGAAACTACCATCAGAGTGAATGGGCAACCTACAAAGTGGGAGAAAATTTTCGCAACCTACTCATCTGACAAAGGGCTAATATTCAGAATCTACAATGAACTCAAACAAATTTACAAGAAAAAAACAAACAACCCCATCAAAAAGTGGGCAAAGGACATGAACAGACACTTCTCAAAAGAAGACATTTATGCAGCCAAAAAACACATGAAAAAATGCTCATCATCCCTGGCCATCAGAGAAATGCAAATCAAAACCACAATGAGATACCATCTCACACCAGTTAGAATGGCAATCATTAAAAAGTCAGGAAACAACAGGTGCTGGAGAGGATGTGGAGAAATAGGAACACTTTTACACTGTTGGTGGGACTATAAACTAGTTCAACCATTGTGGAAGTCAGTGTGGCGATTCCTCAGGGATCTAGAACTGGAAATACCATTTGAGCCAGCCATCCCATTACTGGGTATATACCCAAAGGACTGTAAATCATGCTGCTATAAAGACACATGCACACATATGTTTATTGTGGCATTATTCACAATAGCAAAGACTTGGAACCAACCCAAATGTCCAACAGTGATAGACTGGATTAAGAAAATGTGGCACATATACACCATGGAATACTATGCAGCCATAAAAAATGATGAGTTCATGTCCTTTGTAGGGACATGGATGAAATTGGAAATCATCATTCTCAGTAAACTATCGCAAGAACAAAAAACCAAACACCGCATATTCTCACTCATAGGTGGGAATTGAACAATGAGATCACATGGACACAGGAAGGGGAATATCACACTCTGGGGACTGTTGTGGGGTGGGGGGAGGGGGGAGGGATAGCATCGGGAGATATACCTAATGCTAGATGACGAGTTAGTGGGTGCAGCGCACCAACAGGGCACATGTATACATATGTAACTAACCTGCACAATGTGCACATGTACCCTAAAACTTAAAGTATAATAAATTAAAAAAAAGAAGATAATAAAGAAATATCCTTCATAATTACCTTCTTTTTCACATTCAAAATGGTTTAAACAAATAAACTTGCCTTTGTGTTGCCTATAAAAAAAAAAAAAGAGGTTTCTTCATCTGGGCCTTTGGCCAAGGCATTCCTCAGGTGCCTCTGCGAAGACCTCTTTATGGGCCAGGGAATAGGGGCGGCGGAGAGGAAATTTGAAAACACTTTTCCTCCACTCTTACTCAGTACTCAATACTTTTCCGTTACTAGCTCTTTACCCTCTCACTACCCCAGGTTTTGGTTCCATAAAAGACAAGACAGGAACCTTTGGTTTGAGGTTCCTTGGCAGTGAGATCATTCTCCATATCTGTGCTGATTCACCTCACACTAGATCAGTGCAATTCTATGGGGAACAGTGGAACAGTGGGGGACTCGCTACTTTCTATGGTTTAGACGTTTTGCTTATACTAATTTCATTAAGTAATTAAAGTCTTGATTTTTAATTACATTTTTACTTGTTTTCTTAATCTGCTACCCCAGCACTTGGTAGCTCAGCTCAGCTCCAAACATATAAATTAAACTTCTGAAAAATCCAATGAATTATATGTTATTATTGTATGAATTTATATATAGGGAATACTGGGACTCAGAAAGGTTTACATAATTTATGACCACATAGGTAATAAGTGGTAGAATCAATAGATGAACTTGGTTCTTACTAGAATGCAAGAACATTTGACCAACACACTCACCAACTTGAGTGAACAAACCTTGTTATTAGAACAGCGTTACCCTTGTTGGATAGAGGTTAGTGTGTGACAAATAATGAGAGTGCAAAGGATATAACTGAGCACTGTTTCTCATTTGATCAAACCACAGGTGGATAAACATCACCAGTGAAATTCTCAGAGGAGCTGGCACTGACCAAGGCAGGTGATTATTGTTTGAACATCATTGTGTACACCATATAGACTGCGTTGTCAGTACGAAACCTCCCAAAAAAAAGAAGAAAAGAAAAGTAAAGTAGCATATTATTATAATATCTTGGAGCCTTTCATTATAATACCTTTATCGCAACAAAGCATAATGGCCATTCTCAGTAGACTCATTTGATGCAGCTATTCATAATGTAATTGTTTTCTATTTGCTGTTGTAACAAATTAACACAAATTAATTGGTTTAAAACAAAATGTATTTATTACCTTAAAGGTTTGAAGGTATATCATCTGACATGGGTCTCATTGGGCTAAAATAAAAGCATTAACAGGGCAGTGCTTCTTTCTGGAGTCTCTGGAAAAAAAAAAATCAATTTCATTGTTCTTTCTAGGTTCTAGCTGCTGGTCACTCTCTGTGGCTCATGGCTCCTTCCTACATCTTCAAAACCAGCAATATCAGGCTGAGTCCTCAAGCTGCCATTCCTCTGATTGTCCCTTCTGTAGTCACATCTCATTCTAATTCTGTCTTCTGCTTCTTTCTCCTTGTTCCATATTTAAGGACCCTTTCAATTACATTGGAACACTCAGTTAAGCCAGGATAATCTCCCTTTTTCTTAAGATTAGCTAATTAGCAACTTTAATTTCCTGTTTGCTTTCTAACCTAACCCATTCTTAATTTCCAGGAATTAGGACTTAGATAGCTTTTTGTGGGACACTATTCTGGCTATCACACAGAGTGTTGCCATTTTGTGAAATAACTGTACAGAAGCATTTGATTCAATTTTGCTTCATGCTATATTTCTGACAAAAGCAATTGTCTTTCTTGGATAATGCAAATTTTGTGGATTTTATGTCTCTAAAACAGAAAATACTAGATGGGGGCATATTAAGGCAGTTATTTCTAGATGCCATGACAATCTTACAGAAGTTTATAATCAAAAGAAATAAAAGAGTATTGTCAAATCATTTCTCAAAATAAGTAGATTTTCAAAAACCAGAGCTTAAAATCATTTCAACATTTAAAAATATGCTATGAATGTATCTGAGACCTTTCTGATTGAAGGCTTAAGTTTGAGAACTGAATTCAGTTTGGAGAGGATAAATCAGACATAGTTTCTGTCCTTGTAGAGTCTATTGGAGACTTCTGTGGGAAGACTTCTATAACACAGGATAGGCATGCTAGCCCTCTAATCAGAAGATTTCTTCTAGTAGCCAGCTGTTTGACCATGGCCAACCTCTGTTACATTTGGTTTTATTATTTGTAAAATGGAGATTATAGTAGTACCCTTTGATGGTTAATTTCATATATCAACTTGACTGGGCTGCAAGGGGCCCAGATATTTGGCCAACTATTATTATGGGTATTCCTGTGAGGATGTTTCTGGATAAGAATAGCACGTGAATTGCTATATTAAGTAAAGCAGATTGCCATTGCTAACGTCAAGTATCAGAGAGACTCATCCAATCAGTTGAAACCCAGAATAAAACAAAAAGGCCAACCCTTTCATGAGTAGGAGGGAACTTCTCCTGCCAGAGTACCCTCACCTGGGACATTGCTTCTATCACTACCTTTGGTCTCAAACTAAAACACTGGCTGTTTCTGGATCCTGAGTTAGCTGGCATTTTAACTGGAACTAAACCAACCACTCTCCTGAGTCTCCAGCTTGCTGACTGCAGATCTTGGAAATTGTTATCCTCCGTAATTGTGTGAGTGAATTATTTATAATATCTATCTATCTACCTATCTATCTATCTGTCTATCTATCTATCTATCCATTCATCCATTCATACACATCCTATTCAGTCTGTTTTCCTGAAGAAACCTGACTAATACAGAGTTTGGTATCCAGAGTGCTTCTAGAAGAATAGAATATCAAAGATGTTATTTCTGAATTGATTATGTGTTTTCTGGAACTGGTTCTGTAATTTGTTTATATTTCAAACACTAATGACTATTTCCAGTAATAAAGATATAACTGTAAGTCCATGGTATGATTTGGAATTAGATATATTCAAAATATCATGTTTGGATAGTCATAATCAAATATATAGAAAGCAAGGTTTGAGTGAAGATGTATATGATACCTTTGAAACATTTTTGTCAAACTAATGAGTATAATGAGATTGGCTGGTAGCTCTTAATGTCACTGTAAAATGTGAGGATAAAAAAGAATGAGTTCAGGAATTTGAATTTCTAGCTTAAGCATAACATAAATAGCCTAAAAGCTTCTATATGTGCCCTGAAGGAGATCTTCATTTCCTTGGCTGCAGGGCTGAGATTATTAATAATCAAAATCAGAATCTCATCTTGCTACTTGCTGAATTATACTGGAAGTTTAACTCCTGGCCTTGCAAGATAGCTACTGTTAAAGTGAAGACATTAATTGAGAAAGAATAGGATTCTAAAAGTTGGATTCAAGACCTGTGAAAAGACCCTGATGAAACTGAAGACATTAAACTCCTAAACTCTGATGAGTTTACTATGCAAATAGAAGAGGTCTTTCATCTCCAGTGGAAGCTGTCACTGACCGTCAGAGAAAGGAAGTGACCTCTCCACTTGTGCCCTCCTCATCTGAAGAGATTCACCCTGCATTGGCTGAGAAAATGGTAATGGGCAGTTTCCATGTAAGACAATATTAAGTCTTCTCAGTAACCACCCTCATCACCCTATCTACTTTTAGACCTATACCTTGGCTCAAGTCTTATAAGAACAAACTGTGAACCATAAGGAGGTGTGCTACATTGCAAAAGAACAAATAGAGTTTTCCAATTTATATAGACAGAAATCTGAGAAACGTGATAGGGTCAGTATCAAGGATGTAGAGAAACGGTGAAAGGAACGTAAAGTGGGAATAAATATGCATTTCATCATGACTGTGAGAAATACATTTCTGAGGGGAGCCCTAGGATCCCTGAAGAGCTCTATAATCACTCTTTTCTCTAGGACAGATGTTTCAGTGGGACTGTACTCACTGAACTGGGAAAACTAAATGCAATAGCAGAAATTGGATTCCAGGGTGGCAGAGGCCAAGTGATTGTACACAACTATCAAAAATAAGGTTGGTTTGTTACAATAATGGGCAACAGAATCAAAGCAACAATCAGAATAGTCTAACTATTCTGCACACCTATGGTGTTGCCTAGTTGATAAATGATATACCTGGAAGTAAAGTAGATAAGAAGCCTATTAAATTCTTGCTTGATCTGTATAAGCAAAAAAATGCCCTAGATCAAGTGAAGAAAAGTCTAACTTGAATTATAAAAAAGCAGAGTGAAGACCTTTCAATCAATTCCCAGACTTGAGGAGCCGGTTTACAGATCCAGAACCCCTTGAATGAAGAGGAGACTGGGTCCTAGTGAAGAAGGACTCTGGTACAATGCTAAAAATCATATTATTAATATTTCTCCCAGCCTTCTCCAAAGGGATCTATGGTCTTTTATAACGCTAACTGTACATTGTGGGGAAAAAATCAGATATTTCAGGGAATATTGGATACTGGCTCTGAACTGACATTAATTTTAGATGACCCAAAACTGTGCCCTACCAGTCAGAGTAGGGGCTTATGAAAATAAGGTGATCAGTGGAGTTTGAGCCCAGGTCCATCTCATAGTAGGCCCACTCAGTCTTCCAACTCATCCTGTGGTTTCTGCCTCCAGTTCTAGAATGGATAACTGGAATAGATACAGTAACTGGCAGATTCTTCAAATTGGTTCCCTGACCTGTGGAGTGAGGTTTATTATGGTGGATAAAACCAAATGGAATTTACTTAGAAATGCCTCTACCCAGGAAAATAGTAAACCAAAAGCAAAACCATATTTTTGAAAAGACTACAGAGATTATTGCCACCATCGGGTGACTTGAAAGATGCAGGTTTGGTGATTCCCACTACATCTCCATTTAACTAACTTATTTTACCTGTGTAGAGGACAATTGGATATTGGATAATGACAGTAAATTATGGCAAGTTTAACCAGGTGGTCATTCTAATTGCAGCTACTGTATCACATGTGGTTTCATTGCTTTGTGCAAATTAACACAAACCCAGGTACCTGATATGCAGCTATTAATCTGAAAAAAAATTTTTTTTATATCTGTCAATAAGGACAATGAGAAGCAGTTTCATTTCAGCCTGCTCGCCCAGCAATACACCTTAACTGTCCTACCTCAGGGGTATATCAACTCTCTAGCCCTATGTAATAATTTAGTTTGCAGGGATCTTGATCACCCTTTTTCCCCCCACAAAATATCACACTACTGCATTGTATTGATGGAGTCAGGCTGATTGAAACTAGTGAGTAAGAAGTAGCAACTAGTCTAGACTTATTGCTAAAATATTTGTGTGTCAGAGGGTGAGAAATATATTTGACAAAAATTTGGCGGACTTGTATCTCAGTTGTAATTTTAGGTGTGCAATGGCGTGGGGCATGATAAGAAATGTTTTCTAAGTTAAAGGATACATTGCTGCATCTGGCCATTCCTACAACCAAAAAGATGCACAGATCCCAGTGATTTGGGGGGCAACATATTAATCATTTGAGTGTGTTACTCTGACCCATTTATTGAGTGACTTGAGAAGCTACTAGTTTTGAGTGGAGGGCAGAAAAAGAGAAGGCTGTGGAACAGGTCTGGACTACTGTGCCGGCTGCTGTTCCATTTGGACCATATAATCCAGTGGATTCAGTTTTAAAGTGTCAGTGGCAGATAGAGATGCTGTTTGGTGCCTTTGGCAGGCCACTTATAGGTGAGTCACAGCCCTTAAGATTGTGGAACAAGAATCTGTCATCTTCTGTGGATAGCAACTCTCCTTTTGAGAAACAGACATTGCCTGCTGCTAATAGAGACTGAATACTTAATCACGGGCCACCATGTTACCAAGAGACCTGAGCTTTCCATTGTGAAACGGATGTGATCTTACCCACTGCCTTAGTTTCTTCCTGCTGCTCTAGTAAAATACCTTAGATCGTGTAACTTATAAACAACAAAAAAGTATTTCTCACAGTTCTGGAGGCCAGTAAATCCAAGATCGAAACAGGGAAATTTAGTGTCTGGTGAAGTCTCACTCTTTGTTTCCAAGATGGTGCCTTTGTTTTTGCATCACCACATGGTAGAAGGTGAAAGGGCAAAAAAGATGATAAAGCCTGGTAGCTCTTTGAAGTTTCTTTATAAAAGCATTCATAGCATTCACAAGGGTAGAATCCTCGTTACTTAATCACTTGCCGAAATGCTCCACCTCTTAGTACCGTTCTATTGGAGTTTAAATGCTAACATTTGAGTTTTG